>NC_000011.10:34908484-35060000 GCF_000001405.40 Homo sapiens
TACTTGAATGCCCCAGCTCTCTCTTCTACCTTCACCACACTTAAAAACCCTCCTCCTCCTCATCAGTCAAGTGTTGACTAGAAATCAGAAGACATGGAGCCTGTTTTTAGCTTGGACCCCACTAGCTGTGTGCCCTAAGGCAAGTCAGTGATACTTTCTGGGCATCAGTCTCCTTCTATTAATAATCTGGATCAGTGATCTCCAGACTTCTGAATTAACACCAGTAGTCTGTTCTATGTTGGTATTTCTTATATCTGTCTTAATGAAGGACGGTGGGAGTATATGCTGGGTAGGTGAAGAGGAGAAAGGGCATTTCAGTCAGAAAGAATGCTTAGTAGCTGGAAGTGGTTATAAATTAGGTTCTGCAGGATGGAGGTAAAAGGGAGGCTGAGTCTAAAGGGTCTTCTATGCTATGCACAGGGCTTTGACCTATATTTCATGGATGATTGAAAACCACCAAAGAGTTTGAAACGTAAGATATGTGATAAGAGTCTGTTTTGGAAACATTTGCACAGTGTCAGTAAACGAAAGAGGCTGAAAGGCAGTGGTCAAGAAAGCAAAAGCCCAGAAGAGCAGGGAGGCTGCTGAAAGAGTTTAAAAAGGAAGCTGGAAGGAAGGGACTGTGAAGATGCATTTGGAAGATGAAGGACTTGGGGTGAGAAAACTGAAGGAGACAAACGAAGGCTTCAAAGACTCCCAAGTGTGTGGTCAGCTGAGTAGCTGAGTGGATGATATCGTTCCCTGGGATGTGGGTCAGAAACATTACCATGTGCTGAACACTCTTCTAGGCCCTGGGAATTCAGCTATAAACTGGACCTGAATTCCCAGGGCCTGACCTAAAAGAATTCACACTCTGGGGAGGAGTTTTTAAAAAGTAAACAGAATACATAAATAAACTGTAAAAAGTGCCAAGCAGGAAAGAAACATGGGACTTGGAGAAAAACGGCAGGGATCAACTTTGATTAACGCAGTCAAGGAAGGCCTCTCTGAGCAGGTGGCATTTAATCTAGGACCTAAAAGACATGAACTAAGCCAGTGTGTGATGAATGAGTACGTGTGTGTGTGCAAGGTTTTGTGTTGAGAGAGGCAAGTACTCCAGGCAGAGGAAACAGCAGGTGTGAAGGCTCTGAAGTGAGCAAGTACTTCACAGGCGGAAGATCAGTTGGCTAGAGCAGAGTGAGGAAGTGCTGAGGGTGGCGGAAGATAAATTTGTAGGGGCAAGATGTGGAAGGGCTTGAAAGCTGATGACAACAGTCTTACCAGAAAGGAAATGATTCCTAATAGGAGACACGGGGAGAAGGAGAGAAATAATTATAGAAGGTGAGAGGGCTTGGAGATCCTGAGCTCTAGTGGAGGAACTGGGCTTCTTGCCTTTCATGAAATGAGAGAAGCTGGGTTCACATTCCAGCAGATTGGTAGGTTTTGTGGTAGGAAGGTGAGGAAGTTCATTACCTAATGACTTCTATTGTCTTCAGTATAAACAAAGTCATCAGCTGAGTATGGCAACAGGGTATGAGAGGCTTGACAAGAGAATAAAAGGTATAAAACAGTCATCTTTGGGAGTGGAACACCGAACTACTAGAGAAACAAAGATGGGCTGTTGGGCAGCAGTAAGTGACGATTTGAGGTTGAAATCATGAAGCAAGGCCAGACAACAAAGTTGTGCAATATTCTCCAGCAATGTTCAGCTGCTCAATGCCAGCCCAAAGAAATGGGTGGCAGGGTTCATCCTGGCTAAAGGTTTGGCTAGGCCAACTCCATATGTAAATTAGGTCAACCACGACCTTAAGTAACAACTGTTTCAATAGACTGGGTGTGGAAGCAAGATCGCAGTGAGCTTCACTCACTTTCATTTAGAAGTAAATGAAACTTGGAGGCATGGAGTTCTAATGACTCTTTCAATAGTGTTGCTATAAAGAAGGGCTAGACAGGGAAAAAGAAGGGAAAAACTGGTTAATTAAGACAGTTTTCTGTTACATGCTAACGGGTAACATGAGGAGACAGGGAAAGATTAAACATACAGGAAAGCAGAGGTCTAAGAGGTCAGCCTTTGTCGAGATAGAGAAGCTGGCATTAGAAAAACAGGAATGGGAGGAAAGGTAAAGATGCAGGTAAGTATGTAATAATATTAACAATGTAATATTAAATATGTAATAATACCACTGATAATAAGAATTGCTAACATTTCTTTATAGAGTGCTTATTTTGTGCCAGGCATTTTTCTAAAGCCTTTATATGGAATACTTTACTTTATCCTTATAACAACCCTATTGTACTAAGAGAGATTAAGTAACTTGTCCAAGGCCACCAAGATAGCAAGAGGCAGAGCCAGAATTTGAACCCAGGCAGTCTGATTCTAGATCCTGGTCCTTAACCTTTACATTATACTGCATGTGGAAAGAGGAAGACATTAAGAAGTTCACACCTAATAGCTTTCAGTTTCTTTGTGATTTTGGAGGCAAGGTCACCTTTGAAACAGGTGTGGGGTAAAGGATGAGGTGAAATGATGAGGTTCTGGAACAGCTACTTAGGGGAATGTAAAAGGAAACTCCCCAGAGGACTGTCACATGCTACTCAGAGGCCAGCTGCAGTAAGACACCAGAATACTTGTAGACACACTAATTCATATAGTTGAATATACCCAAAAAAGTGTATGGTAAAAGGGTAGGGGTTGGGCAGAGAAGGATATGACCATGGGAATGGGATGTTAGAGTGAGGGGGCGGTAAAGATGAACAGCAGTGATGAGGTCAAGGAAAAAAAAAGGGCAAGGTACTGGATGTACTTGTGCTGCAGAAATATCAAAGAAAAAATATTTGTTCAGTGTCAACATATATAGGACACTGTGATAGTTAAGGTAAAATTAAAAAAATAGAAGTAGTCCCTACCTGGTTTTTCTCTGCAACTAAGCAGAGAATGGGCTCTTGGTATAGCTATACCTACCACAGTGCTTTGCTCAATAAACGTTGGTTGCATTAACATCATATCTCTTACATTAAAAAAAGTCCTGTATCAGAGGTTATGGTATTTTGTGGACTGCTTCAGGCTCACAGGAAGTTGTTTATTTGGTCTACGCAATGCTTAGAAAGAGTCTGAGCCTAAATTTTAAAATCAAGAGATTTCATATAAAATCTGAGTTTCCAGTTTCCCTTAAAAAAGCAAAACTAAACAATGGGCCCATAATACTCCCACATAGCAAAAACGATCAGTGTTGTGTAGTGCTACCTCTTAAAACAGGGCATATGCTGGCCCTAGTATCTTCTTTTTGGTTTCCATCTGGCCAATCTAAAATGCCATATTCTCCATGAAGTCTTCCATGAGTCACTGTATGAAATGACCTTCCCCTCCCTCTATACTTGCAAAATACTTTGTCATCCCCTAATGGAACTTCATCCTTTCCCCCCATGCCCCACTGCCCATTACTGGTATATATTAATTATAAATATGCATTTGCAACTGCCCAAGTTTCTGAAAAATAGGAACAACTTACTCATGTTTGCATTTTTCAGCCTGGACTTCAATATACGGTTTCTGAGTAAATGCTTTCTTTTTTAGGGAAACACTCCTTGACTTTTGCTGATGTTAGAAAAAATCAGTTCAAGGGCCAGTCAGTAGGGATTTAATTTCAGAGCTGTAAAACCAGGTCAGAGATTATTGTCATAAGCTGAGTCTGACCCGAAAATAATACACTTGATGCCTGAAGAATCTTTAGAATACAAGAAGAAAGTACATGAAACATAAGTCACTTGGGGATGTTACTGCAAATGATAATAAAAATTATTGAATGGGCTACAGAGTGTTCAGAAAAGATATATAATATCTTTTATAATATGTGTTCAGAAAAGAGTGTCTATCAAAGACAGAATAATATAAATACACAGGTCTTGAGAGCGAAGGTTTTGGTGAGCAAGTCTTCCAAATCTTTATCTCCAATCCAGTTCTCTCTCCTAGCTTGAAAGCAATACCCAGTGTGATGGTTAATACTGAGTGTCAACTTGACTGGATTGAAGGATACAAAGTATTGATCCTAGGTGTGTCTGTGAGGGTGCTGCCAAAGGAGGATTAACATTTTGAGTCAGTGGGCTGGGAAAGGCAGGCCCACCCTTAATCTGGATGAGCACAATCTAATCAGCTGCCAGCATGGCTAGAATACAAGCAGGCAGAAAAATGTGAAAAGGGAGACTGGCCTAGCCTACATCTTTCTCCCGTGCTGGATGCTTCCCGACTTGAACACTGGACTCCAAGTTCTTCAGTTTTGGAACTCAGACTGGCTCTCCTCGCTCCTCAGCCTGCAAACGGCCTATTGCGGGATCTTGGGTTCACGTGAGTTAATGCTTAATAAACTTCCCTTTATATATATATTCCATTAGTTCTGTCCCTCTAGAGAACCCTGCTAAATACACTCAGTGTATAGTACCACATGCTGAGGCTGTACCTCAAACTCAACATGTCCACAACACACCCATCATAAACTGTTTCTTCCTCCTGTATTCTCTTTCTGGTGGACCACCAGGCCCCAATCACTAGATCAGAAGCCTAAAAGTCATTCTTGACTTCTTTTCTCACTACACACATCTAATCAATAACCAAGACCTCCTGATTTTACTCCCTCACTCAGACCTACAGCATCTCTTGCTTGGATGCCTGCCACGGCTTCCTAGTCTGTCTCCATGCCTCTGGTCTTTTTAACTCTAGCCAGCAATCCCCAGGCCTTCTTCAGTCATCCTGCTGATTATCTCATTGCCCTTAGTTTAAAAATCTAAGATTTGCTTAACAGGCCCTTTAGGTCTGGTCCTAGTTTGTCCAGAATTGGTTCCTTCCCGTGGGTTCTTGGTCTCACTGACTTCAAGAATGAAGCCGCGGACCCTTGCGGTGAGTGTTACAGTTCTTAAAGATGGTGTGTACGGAGTTTGTTCGTTCAGATGTTCAGAGTTTCTTCCTTCTGGTGGGTTCGTGGTCTTGCTGACTTCAGGAGTGAAGCTGCAGACTTTCACAGTGAGTGTTACAGCTCTTAAAGGTGGCACGCAGGTTGTTCGTTCCTCCCGGTGGGTTCATGGTCTCGCTGACTTCAGGAATGAAGCCGCAGACCTTCGCAGGGAGTGTTACAGCTCATAAAGGTAGTGCGGACCCATAGAGTGAGCAGCAGCAAGATTTATTGTGAAGAGCGAAAAAACAAAGCTTCCACAGCCTGGAAGGTGACCGAGGGGGGTTGCCGCTGCTGGCTCTGGTGGCCAGCTTTTATTCCCTTATTTGGCCCCACCCACATCCTGCTGATTGGTCCATTTTACAAAGAGCTGATTGGTGGGTTTACAAACCTTTAGCTAGACACAGAGCGCCGATTGGTGCATTTACAATCCTTTAGCTAGACAGAAAAGTTCTCCAAGTCCCCATCCGACCCAGAAGCCCAGCGGCTTTACCTCTCACTAGCTTTTCTCTTTAGCTTCATCTCAAGTCTCTGGCCCCTACTTTATGTTCCAGAACACCAAACTTAATATGGGAACACACCATGTCTGTAATCAAGGACAACCCTGAGATTGTGTACATGCTACTTCCCCTACTTGGAATATCCTTACTTTCATTGCATGTGGTTATGTCTTCCTGATCCTTTAGGCCTCAGTAGATACTTTCACTGTTTCCTGAGGTATTCTCTAACCCATTCAAGTGTATACTCCTAAACTACCTTGAACTTTCCCATCTAAGTCATATCGTCATATGTCAAACTATGTCATGTTGTCATACCATCTTTGTCTCTTTGCTAATTTGTCTCTTCCACTGTACAGCATGTTCTAGGGGAGAAGGAACCAGATGCAGCTTGCACTTATAAATCCACAATGCCTGGCACATAGTAGGCGCTCACTAAATATTCGTTGAATTAATCACTTACAGTTGAACATTCCCCTTCCTTAAGGCCAAAGAGACTGTCTCTTTCCATTGCCCATGACCCCCTAAAACTACAATGAAATTTTATGACTTCTTAAAACTTTTCTTATTGCTGTTTTTATGTATTTGTACAAAACCAGACAAATACAAATATCTAGAGGGGCTCATGTATTTAACTAGATATGCAAATCCAGTGTGAGTAGTGGAAGCTGTGGTAACCTGGCCAGCACCCTCTGTAAAGGTGGTGTTCACTAGTAACCGCAATCCAGATCCCATGAAAAAATAAGGGCCCAATGTCACCATGTGTTCTGAGGTTTTAAAAGAAGCTGAAATGATTCTGGATTTTGAAATGTTGGCTTGGCAGGGCGTGGTGGCTTACACCTGTAATCCCAGCACTTTGGGCAGCTTAGGGGGGTGGATCACCTGAGATAACGAGTTCGAGACCAGCCTGGCCAACATGGTGAAACCCAGTCTCTACTAAAAATACAAAAATTAACTGGGTGTGGTGACATGCGCCTGTAATCCCAGCTACTTGGGAGGCTGAGGCAGGAAAATCGCTTGAACCAAGGAGGCAGAAGTTGCAGTGAGCTGAGATCACGCCACTGCACTCCAGCCTGGGCAACAAGAGCAAAACGTGTCAAAAAAAAAAAAAAAAAAAAAAAAAGGTTGGCTCAAATTTTTCATGAACATTGAGTGCAGCAAAAAAAAAACATGCCTGTCCACCAAGCTGTCTGTGGGCCATGTTTGGTTTGAGAATCCTAGTTTATTCTCGGGTCCCTTAAGGCTCTCTTTGATGCTCATTCTGATGACATTACACTAAGATTTACTGATTGAGGGTACGGACACTTCTCCATACACACTTGCCCAGGAACGATCTCCAGTTACCTGTCCTGTCTCCAAGATCTTCTCTCTCTCATCCAATCTTGCCTATGCAGCATTCTATTTTCAGAGTCGTCTTTGCTAATTTGGGGAAGTCACTTATTCAAACAAGAAAGTGGTTGACAAATGTTTAGCAATGAAATCTCCCGCGAGTTACTACTTTTTAATTAGGATTTTCAACCCTAAGAAAGATATAGATAGGAGGAATAAGATAGGGGGAATAAGGAAACTAATTTTGAGGGGTTTCCCTGCCTCTTAGGTGGGGTTTATCATATTGTGCTGAAACTGCTTATTCGTCTAGTTCTCCAGACCCTGGGCCATTTATCTTACGTATCCCTATCTCTGAGCGTGTAGAAGGCGCTCCATAAAACTGTTGGTTTGTGTAAATGACCGAAAACTACATGCAGCGTGAGGGTGGATTTCCCTTTGACTTCGGCTTAAGGAAGAATCGTTCCCATGATCATCCCACAATTCATCTAAACGGAGATAGGCAAGGAGCAACTGCTCAAAGGCAAAGCGCTGGCAGCTGAGGCACAGCTCCGGTTCGGCAAACGTCTCCCGAGTGCCAAACGTCCCCCCAAACGCCTAACTGGTCGTCAGGGCGCAGAAAAGAAGCTTGGGGGGCGCGGTCTTCGCCCCAGCTCCACTTCGGTGCTTCACGATTCCTTCTCTGGCCTGCCTTCCTGATAAATACCCGGTGAGGTCACCTAAACGCTCTCCTCTCTCAGTTATTTGCTTCTTTCCAACGTTTGGCGCCCAGCTCCCGCCATCGGAGCGCCCCGCCCGAGACCACTGATCTCCTGGGGCCTCGCAGCCTTGCTTCCGAACGCCAAGGTCGCGGTGCGCCGGGGTAGCGAACGGCCAGGCCCGAAACCCCGCCCCGCAGCTAAACGCCCGGCCCGCTACCCTGCGCCCAGCTCCAGCCGCCGGGTCCCGCCTGGGCCTCTCCTCCTGGGAATACCGGGCACCGGTGGCCCCGCCCCTACCTGCGCGCCGCATCTCCGGGAACAACAGTCTCCCTCCCGAGCATCACAGCCAGACATGGCCCAGACCAGGGACCCGCGCGGCCTCCAATCTCCGCACGGCTTTGCGCGCGGCGCTTAGCCTGGGATACGGCAGCGAGGCCGCAAATGCAATCAGGCGGCGCTGAGGGCAGCCCGGGGGCGGGGCGAACGGGGCGGGGGCCGGGGTCTGGTAAGGCCCCGCCGGCTGAGATATCCAGCGGCGCACCTGACTTCCCGGGAGGCAAGGCCAACGTGGTTGGAGGCGGGGCTGGGTTGGGGGGCGGGGGTTCAAGTCTGAGAGACCTAAAGGCACCGCTAGCGTCTGGGGGCGTGGCCAACCATGCGGGAGGCGGGGCCTTGATGCTGGACATCAGGCTGTGCTGCGGGCAGCCAGTGAGAAGGCCGTCAAGATGGCGGCCTCCTGGAGGCTGGGCTGTGATCCGCGGCTGCTGCGTTATCTTGTGGGCTTCCCCGGCCGCCGAAGCGTAGGGCTGGTGAAGGGGGCTCTTGGGTGGTCTGTAAGCCGCGGAGCTAATTGGAGATGGTTTCACAGCACGCAGTGGCTTCGGGGTGAGTGGCCGGGGCTCGCTCAGCTTCTCTGTGTAGCTGAGTGATGGGCCTGGGACAGGGGCAGTTATGATTGAGGGCCTGCTTTTGGGTGTGAAGGTGCGCGGGCTCCTTATTCCCTTTCCTCTTTCTCCGGTTGGGGTCCGCCGACTTGGCCTAATGCATGCTGTGAAGGGCTTTCTTGGCAGCTGAGAGAACTCGACTCTGCCCTAGGCCCCCTGGTTTGTATGGCTTTGTGACCTTGCCTTGGAATTTGGGTTATTTGTGAGGCGCAGAGAGGGTTCCCAAACTCTCCTCCCTCAGCCCCCTTTCCAATCAAGGCTCAGGTTTCTTTAGGGTTGTCAAACGTCTCGGACGAGAAAAAGCTGCCCAAGGTTGCCGAGATTGAAAAGCCACTGTTGGGAGTTCTTACTTATTCTCTAGGCCTCTCTCTGTTAGGAGGTGTTTTCATTGAGGCCAGTCGAGTTTTACCCCACGCCATGACTCGTGGAAGACTTAAATTTGTAAATTCCTACGGCATCACGATAGACAAAGGTCCAGGAGAATGTTTCAAGCAAATATTCGCTTGAAAGAGCAAACATTTAGGAGATAAATCATACCAAAAATTTATTATAGAAAATTGTTGTTTAGTAATGATATTGATGCAGTTAACACAATTCTTGCAGTATTTAACAGTATGCAAAATGGCAGGCCGGGTATTATTTTTCCTTATTTTGGGAGAAGGTTGGAGGGAGGCGGGGATGGAGAATAGGACTGACGTTTTTTAGTGTGACGTATTACCTGCCAATCATCGTTCCTGGCACTCTACAGAATGAATTTTAATTTAAATAGGTCTAGTAGACGTTGCCTTCATATTCTGAGCTACCTTAGGCTCAGAAAAAAAAAATCACACAAAGTCATATGGTAAGATGAGTGTATTGGGGTTCCTAAAGGTTCCTTAATGGGAACAATTTATTTCATTTTTGGTGTAATGTTTCATAACATATTCCTTGGAGCAGAGGTGCTTTAACAGTGTGTGCAGAATTCCTTCTCTTCCCTCCTCCAAGTTTGTTGAAATTAAACTTTTTTCCAGCTCCTAGAGATTCGGTCTGGTCTGGTGTGGGGCTCAGGAATCTGCATTTTACAAATGTTGGATGAGTTTTGATGTTTTATTTTGACATTTAATGGAATGAGCTTTGAGACTCACTGCCTTAGAAAATCATGGAATATTAAAAGTTTAGTATTGGATATAATCTAGGAAGAGTGCTCTTAATCTTGTTTATCAAGCAGATCCTTTTGAGAATCTTTGAAAATGTTACAGACTCTCTGTACAGAGGAAGTACCATAAATGGTCACACACAAAAATGTGCACGTAGTGGCTCACGCCTGTAATCCCAGCACTTTGGGAGGCGAAGCTGGAAGATTGCTAGAGCCCAGGAGTTGGAGACCAGCCCGGGCAACAAAGTGAGACCCCCGTCTCTACTTAAAAAAAAAAAAAGAAAGAAAAAAAGCCAGGCGTGCTGGCATCCCAGCTACTCCAGGGGCTGAGGCAGGAGGATCCGTTGAACCCAGGAGTTAGACGTTTCATTGAGCTATGATCCTGCCGCTGCACTTTAGCCTGGGTGACAGAGTGAGACCCTGTCTCAGGAGAAAAAAAAAAAAAAGTATACATAGGCCCAGTTTAATGCCTTTAGAAACTCAGTTAGGCAAGCAATCCTTATCTGCATCCTCATGATGCTTTTTTACCTATTCCCTATCCCCTAGACATATACCATGAACAACTTGTCTACCCCAGTTTGAATACCATCTGTCAGGAAGAAGGCATGGCATCTCAAGGAAAGCCAAATTAGTTTTCTAGTGCTGCTGCAACAAATTACCAGAAATTAGTGGCTTAAAACAACACAAATTCACATCTCATAGTTCTAGAGGTCCGAAGTCCAAAATGGATCTAACTAGGCTAAAATCAAGCTATTGGTAGGAGCTGCATTCTTTTCTGGAGGCTCGAGACCCCATTCCCTTAAGTTTTCCAGATTCTAGAGGTTTCTAAGATTCTTTGACTCATGGGCTTCAAAGTCAGCAATGGCTGGTTCAGTCTTTATCACATTACGTCACTCTTAATACTCCCCTCTGCCTTCTGCCACTTACAAGGACCCTTGTGATTACATTGGGCTCATCTGGATGATCCTGAATATTTTCCCCATCTCAAGGTTGAGTAGAAACCTTAATTCCATCTTTAACCTTAATTCCCTCTTGCCATGTAACAGCATATTCATAGGTTCTGGGTATTAGGACGTGAACCTTTTGAGGCATGGCATTCTGCATGTGAAGCTGTGGAAAGTATTTGGAAATACTAAGTATTTGGAAGTGTTGGACTTTTTTCCTAATACCGAGCCAAAATATATCCGCTTCTGACTTTCACCTACATACAGATTTTTGTTTTGCCATGCCGAAAACACGTGGCAATCCTTGAACTATTTGTTTTACAAACTGTGAATTTACGGTGGTGTTTTTTCTCTGAGCTTGGTAGAAACTGTAGTTTTATAAAACTAAACAACTATTTGGATTACTGTAAACTATATAAATTAAGTACATTTATTGAACTGTTTCGTCTTTCACACAAATATCTTTAAAAATTTGTCAGTCGGAACTACCTTTGGAGTTTTAATTTCCTTAAGAGGTGCTGGCAGCATTTTTATGAGCTATGACATATGCCATTTTCTTAGCACTTTCTAGAATTTCTCATTCACTTCTCACATAACCTAGTAAAGTTGGCATCATCTGCATTTAGTTGGACAAAAACACCAAGGCTTAGAGAAATTGAGTCTCCTAAAGACATGTAACTGTGTTGATGAACTGAAGTGCATGTATATATTTATATACATATATTAATTTGTTTAACAAATCTTTAATTTGTATCATTCTCTCAACAGATTTATTGAGAATGCAGAGACTATCTTTTTTACCACTTACATTATTGAAGAATGAGTGAAGAAATTAGCATCTATTAGGTGCCAGGCACATGGTACCCTGCTTGGGAAGTAGTGGCCAGCTGAATCAAACAGATTCTCAGTATTTGCCACATGGCACATTTAATCATACTTAGCTCCTGGACATGCAATCCAAAATTCTATATAGGGCTGATCCTTAAGGTATTTGTAGTCTCTTTGGGGACATAAACAATAAAGGTATGATTTCAATAGTGTATACAGTAAGCTCAGAGGGGGTAAGTTTGAAATGATCAGGAAATAATATATAAGGCAGCTTCTTAGAGGAAGAGGTGACAGCCCTTACAGGCTGAAGGAACAGCAGAAACAAAGACCCAGAGACCAGAGTGATCATTATATAATTGACACAGCATCTGTAAACAGTTTTTCAACCTACTCTAGACAGTTAACTTCAGAGAGTTTAAATTGTGGTCCTTTCAGAGTAGGTAGCATGATTTGGAATATAATTGGTAAGATGTTAATTAATAGTATTGGTTTTAAGTTGTCTCTGAAGAATAACATGTTGAATTTAAAATAACCTGTGAATAGAAAAGTAACTGAGGTTCAATCTTGGTGGCGATTTGCCTAGTATATAATTATAGGCAATACATATTATAGATGTTCAATAAACATATCTAAGGAAGCTAGTAATCTAGGAAGTTATAAAAGAACACTAGAGCCTACAGTAGGATTCCAAGTTGGCAGCCAGGGAACTGACCCACATTGTTTTAGCAGAAAAACTTATGGCAAAATTTTAAAATCAGGAGACTTTACAGAGAAATCTAGATTTTTGTTCTCTCTTTAAAATTGATAGTTAAATCCTATGTGGTGACAATTATCTAACACTGAGTAATGATTGTTCTTTTTAGGTAGGAAATTGCTTCCTACTTTGTCACTATGCCGCCTACTCTGTATTACATCTTAGCAAGGCTGAATGTCCCTTGGTATTTGCATCACCTCTAGTTGTCATTTTTTTTTCTTGTACTCTTATCTCTACGGAAGGCAGAAGACAAAAGACCAAGAAAAATGGGAGAAAGCAGATATTGTGTATATGTGTAAAGGAGGAAAATGCTTATCCATTTAATATGAAAATAAAGGATGTCAGAATCTAAAGAAAAAACCTGAAGATGCTAGTCCTCTTCTCTCACCTGCCTGTTTTTTGTAGGCATCTGAGTTTTTGACAGCAGTGCTATAACCAGGAGAGAGGGAACTTCTTTGATAGAGTTAATGGTATGGTATTTCTGCCAAAACACGGATACTCTTTTAGGCCTGGTTCTTATTAAGTGCTTATACACTGATAAGATTGATATTCTCCTTTGAATTCTCATTTAACTGTGGAAACAGAAACATGTAGAATAGCTCTAGTAAAAGTAGGATTTATTAAAAGGATAGAACATCACTTATAAAATGCTGCAGGGCCATGGGGAAACCATAATTATTCCATCTATTTCTTCTAGGGCTCATATTATTTGTCTTCTTTCTCTTATTTACTTTGTTTTCCTGTACAGACTTGCAATTATCAATCTGTTTACTCCTGGCTTTTCTTTCTCAGTGTCAGCTTGCCTTGCCTCAGTGGTGATTCAGGCCTTTATGCACGATGCGCTGTCAGTTTTGTTTAAGTGCTCACCATCATTTCTGTAATCTCCTTTCAAATTCCTTGAATAGAGAAACTGACCCAAAGTAGACCAGTTGTGCTACAGGGCATGCAAGGCTGATTCTTTCGAAGGCTACGATTTGGACATTTTCTTTAAGAAAGTAGTTGAGAATCAATGATTGACATTTCTGTTGCTATGACCATCTGACTAAAATAGGCCAGTAATGCAGTATTTTATTTTATTTTATTTATTTTAATTGTTTCTGCGCTAAGTAATGACCAAGCAAAGTGTATCATCTAAGCAAAGCACTTGTAGGCTACTCAGCTGAGATGTTTGCCCATCCAAAGAAAATAGGACAGGGGTAAATGAGATCTTACTACAGGCAGCAACAGGAGGGACTAAGAAGATTTAGATGATCAGGAAATACTTTGTATATGTTTACCTTGTTTTAAAGGATTTTATTCTGTCTATGAAAGCAGGGTATTAGAAGTAGCCATCACATACTGAGCTCTCACTATATTTGCATTACTTCTAACCATCATAAAAACCCTGCAAAGGTTTGCCAGGTTTCACGGGAGAAGAAATAGACTCAGAGAGGTTTTAGCATTTTACCCAAGGTTAGTGGATAAGTGGATGACCACTTTGGAACTGTGCACGTGATGACATCCAGAGGAAGAAGAGAGGACCTTTCTTCTTGGATGTCTTTTTTGCAGAACAAGAAACATCTTCTGTTACCACAGCAGAATTTTCTTATATTGTATTGACCAGAATTGGGTCGTATGCCCTTTCTTAAGTTAGGCACTGGCTTGACTTCACTGTGTGAAAAATGTATAGACTTTGGCTAATCAAGGGGATGGGTGTGGAATCACTAACTCTGAGTACATATGCACAAGAAAAGTATATTGCTGAACAAAGTTGAGCTACCAGCAAGAAAGAAATTTGGGGATAGGTTTGGGAATAATAAGTAGCATTTGTTGAGAGCTTACTATATACTATGCACCCTTGTAAGCACTTTACATGAATCAGCTCATTTAATACTCACAACTAATACTATACTCTGGTAGATAGTTCAGGTTTCAACCCAGATCTGACACCAATGCCTGTTTCCTTAACCATAGTCTACCTCAGTATCAAGTGATAGCTTGATTATAGATTTCAGCAGAACAGTGTCAGCATGCTGACGTTTTAAAGTTCACCGTGTGTACATCCTAAATGAACATTTTTGCTTTTTTTAAAAAAATGAAATCAGACATAGTAATAACCGCATTGTAGACTAGCATTTCTGTGACAGCCTATCATTTTAGAACAATTAAGGACACCAAAATTCTTGACTACGTGTAAGGGTGGCAGGACTATTTAAGAGAGTTAGAGTATATATTGACTTCTCCTATCTGTAAATTTCTAAGGTGATGTACTCTTAAATATACCTTCTTGTTGTTGTCTTGAGCTTAATTTGCCTTTTACGACAAAATGTGTAAATTCCCAAAGTATCGTTGTGTGTGTGTGTGTGTGTGTGTGTGTGTGTGTGTATGTATTCTTTTGCTAGGCTGTAAATGGAATGGTAATTTCTTTTGGCTCTTCTCCCAAGATGGCAAAGTAAAGTGAACTTCATGTAGAATTTTAATTTTATAGTTTAATACCAAGAAGGACAGTATTCCAAGCTGAAATCTCTTCTAAAATGTTTGGTTTATTTCATTCAAAGGAAATGCATTCTACACCATATGCTATCTAAAAATTCTGGCTAACCTCTTTTCTAATGTGCCATTGGATACTAAGTAGAAGTATAATAATATAGAATCAGCAGATTCTATGAACAAGATGGGGTATATGGGTGATTCATTTTTTTGGTAGGCAGTACATTTACTATAGCTAGTGATCTGCTTGATATCTTTCTGTTACTGTATAAATCAAGGACTTTATTATATGAAACATTCCTAGGGAAAAATTAGGATCAGCAAATGTATAATTCAGGAGAGATTTCTTGGGAATATATTAGCCCTGGTTTTTGGAGGGGAACAAATCTGTTAAACTATAAAAGCTATACCACTAACTTCTTCAGGAAAGTGCATACATACACAATTTTATATATAATTCTGAGTCCAGAGGACTCAGATCTCCCTGTAATTTGTCTGTAAATACCACCTAGTCTAGAGACTATTTCCATAAACATTTTGGTCATTTCCTAGCTTTTTTTTGGATAATAGCCATCCTAATAGATATTAAGTAATACTAGTACAGATTTTTTTGTTGTTGTTTTCCAGTGTTCCATCAGGTAGAATCTCAGCTCTCATAATTCTTTGATGGTCTAATGGCATTTTTATCTACTACTGTCTAGTACTTGTGTATTTATCTTCTCATCTAAATTTTAATCCTTTTGAGGTCGAGAATCTGGTTTGGTCTAGGGCTAGGATAACAAGTGTTCAGTAGGCATTTGTTGAATGCCTGATTTGGCTTTTAGCTTTGGAAGTGAATAGTATGAGCACTGAAGGTAAAACATTTGCCAGTGATTTTAATGAGAGGTTGGTTTTCAAGTATGAAATGTAGTTAGAATAGAGATCAAGAATTAGTGTACTTTAGTCATGAGAACACTGCTGAATAAGGTAAAGGAGAGAGTAAAAAGGGAACCTTCAAGTTTAGGCTGGGAAGGTGAAAGGAACCTGTGAATGCATCTCTCATTACTCCAAGAAGGAACTGTGATATTCTACAATATTGTGACATCTTACAATGTAATAGGATATTGTGATACATCTAGCCAGCTATCTGGATGCCTCCAGAATATACCCTCTTAATTGTTTCTATGCTGCCCATCAAAAATAAATAACTAACATTTTTGAGACTTATTCTTTGCCAAGTCCCATGTGTTACCTTCTTTCTTTCTTTCTATTTTTTTAGATGGAGCCTTACTCTGTCGCCCAGACTGGAGTGCAGTGGGGCGGTCTCGGCTCACTGCAACCTCTGCCTCCCGGTTTCAGGCCTCCCAAGTAGCTGGGACTATAGGCATGTGCCACCAAGCCTAATTTTTGTATTTTTAGTAAAGACGGGCTTTCACCATGTTGTCCAGGCTGGTCTTGAACTTCTGACCTAATGTGATCCACCCGCCTCAGCCTCCCAAAGTGCTGGGATTACAGGCATGAGCCACTGCTCCCGGCCTACCTTATTTCTTTACAAAAATCTATTTATGGCACCATTTTAGAGAAGAGGAAACAGACATAGATAGAATAAATAACTTGTAGGTGGTGGATCTGAAATTAGAGCCTAGGCAGTTTGATTCCAGTACCTATTCTCTAAATCACTGTGGTATTCTGCTTCTCCTTGAGTTTTTTTAAATTAAATATTTAAATAATAAAATATTTCATTTAGCACAATAGTACATGCATATAGTTTAAATAGTACTGAAAGGCTTGTAACAGTACAGTGGATCTCTGCCCCATCTCACCCAACTTTCCCAGTCTTCCTTAGAAGTAACTAGTTTTGTCTCTTAACTTTCTTCTGGCATTTGCCCATCTCTCTGTTTCTATTTTAGCCGTTTTCTGTGGATGACTGCCGGTCAGTGCCGCCCTCTGTTTTCCCTCCCCAGTGAAATTATTTTGTAATTCTTGGTCAAATATTCAGTGTTTACATTAAACAAATATTATGCACAATTGAGGATTGTCCCATATTTTGTTTGTTAGCTTTCTTTTTGCTGCAGTTATTGCTGCCCTTTAAATTTTTAGTTAGTTTTTTCTGTGATAATTTCTAATTTATCTCACGGTATGTAATAGCTTCTCCACACAGTTTTCTGTAATGTCAGCCACATCAGATACTTTCTCACTTAACTTATTTTTGCAGTTTTTATATATCCTCAGCTATGTAGATTGAACTTCAAGCTCTTCTTTTTGCCCTCTGCAGAGAAAACAAGCTTCAGTCTTCTGTTGAATGAGGGTAGGGTTGTTACCTACCACTGGATTAAGAGAGGGGATCCAGGTATCTAGCTACTTTTCAAACAGCAGCCACCCAAATCCTCCCTGGCTTAGGATACAGCTTTCTAGGGTCTCTTTAATTGATTATTACGTATCTATTTACTTTTCTGCTTCCAAAATTGTATGCTGTTATTCCTTTTCTCTGTGTCCTTGTGGGTTTCTGCTTAAAATTAACAAAAGCAAACAGCACATTTTTAAACTTAGTGTTAGTTAAGTTTGAAAGAGGAAGTAAGATTGGATAAATTTATTGTAGACATGTATGAAAATGTAGGTTATCAGAAATAAAAGAAATAAAAAGCCCTTATAGTAATATCACTAGCTAGAATGACTACTATTGTCATTTTGGAGTATTTCATTTCAATCTTTGTATGTGTACAAGCTGGGCAGGTAGTAATTGGATGATGCCATATACAGGTTTGAGCATCTCTAATCTGAAAATCTGACATCCAAAGCTTTTTGAGCACTGACATGATGCTCAGAGGTGATGCTCAAAGGAATGTTCATTGTAGCATTTGGGATTTTGGACTTTGAGATTAGGGATGCTCAACCAGTAAGAATAATGAATGCAAATATTCCAAAATCTGAAAAAATCTGAAATTAAGAACTCTTATAGTCCCAAACATTTCTGATAAGGCATACTCAACCTATATATTGCTTATGGGTTATCTTTTTTATGTTTGTTAGCATGCCAAGACCTGTAAATGCTGTTTTCACACAAACTGTTGTGCATTCATTTTCTGTTGTGGTCCATTGACATTTTCAGTCTATTTTTACTCCAGTACCACACCAAAATAACTATTTGAACAAAGAAGACTTATATGACAAACGATCCTTTAAAACAAAAAATACTATAACTGCCTTTATTCCAAGTGTTAATATTACTCTGTGCCTAGTGCTGATTTTTAAATTACTTTTACTTTATTCTGCCTTATTTCATCCAGCCTGCAGATGGCAGAATTGTTTCATTTGAACAGCAATTTTGAAGGCTCCGTTTTATTTAGTGTGTTCTGACATTGGAATGAGAAGTGATTAAATGAACAGTCTCTCTCCCTATTAGAGAAGAAGCAAATTAATGTTAGAGACAGGGAGCCACACTAAGAAAGTACTGGATAATTTACTTTTTCATTTGGTCTATCTTCATTTCATGATTTTTGCATGCTTGGATTATAAATGAACTAGAGCCTATAAATGAACTAGAGCATGATGTTTAAGCTGTACCATATGTAAACTGCTGAATTCCCTTAATTACTTTAGTCAGAGTAATGGAGCTTAAATCTGCTTCATATTAACCATAAAGCAGTTTGTTCTGCATTTGTATTTTAAGAGTTTGCTTGTATTAAATTTTTTTTTTAATCTAGAGACCTTTTAGCATTCATGAATCAATCATCAATTTAAAGCTTTGATATAATTGAGTTTGCTGAAGTATGAGCATTTTGTTCTTAGGATAAAAGAAATACTTTAGGGAAGAAGAAACTAGAATTAGATTAGTGTACCATATTTGAAATTGAAGTCAGAATTATGCTGTAGAAAAATTGGAAGAGCCCATTTGAGGAAATACAGGAATTGCTTAGAGGGATTACTGTAAAATTCAGTGATTGGTAAATTGCTCATGTAGCAGAAATGGCAGGGAAAACAGCAATAAGCTAAGCAAAAAATTTTAATGTATTGTGTCATTCTGTTGATGTAAAAAAAGAGTAAAATAGTTATGAGTCATGAGACTTTACTTTTAAAATCAGCAAGTTTAAATATAAAGTACTGGACCACATACATTACAATAGTCATTTAAAAATTTTTAAAAATGTTTTGTAACTGCTGTGGAAGGGTAGACTTCACAAGCCAATTAGATATAATTTGCTAGCTTTATAAGAAGGAGCAGAACACTGAAGTGACTACAAAACGTTAAATTTTAACTAAATTTTGAGAACTTTGTGAATACTAATTGAAAAACTTGTGTAATGAGTGCAGCAAACTACTTACCTGTAGTTGTGGGAAACTAATACTAGGAAACGTAATTGGTGCATATCTTAAGGCCTTCTTAATTTGACAAGAGAATGGTAGAATGTACAGCTTACTGGAATAAGGAGGGAGTCTGCATATAAGTTCAAATGCAAATTAATTAATATTAGGTAAAGGATAAAATTCCATTCCAAGGAGTCTAGAAAAGTCTACACTATCTTAGTAGAGTTGACAGCAGCCATAAAGGGCAGATATTAATTATGTGCAGGCCTGTCACTTCAAGTTTATCTTACGATTGTGTAATTACTTTCCCATCAGAAAAATACGTCTGGAAAAGATACCATATAGTGTTCTAATCAAAAGAGGGTATGCTAGAATGAAATATGTACTTTTATTAACACATTAATGCTTATGAAATGATTTTTCTAGCATGAAAGCCTGAGGATAGATTAGTTAGAATAACTACAAAATATATTGCACATTTAACTCTCCGTAATAAGCGAGTGTAATCTATCAAGAGATAGTATTGAATAATGGAGATGTCCAAAATATCTTTCTTTGGTTTTTGTCACCTTCATTTCAGAGTAAAGATAATGATCTACTACAGAATTTTTGTATTATCATAATTCAGATAAGCAATTTCAATTCATTTCATGAAGGGTGACTAAGGAACGATTATGTTCTTTTTATTTTTAAAATATGAAAATTTTTGAGGTTCTTGATGTGGTAACTTGAAAGATAATAATAAATGCAGAGGTTTCATAATATAGTCCTTAATGTCAAGAGTAATGGAAATGTGAAGGTCTCTTAGGTGAGAGATTATAGCAGGAGATAGAATCATAAAATAAATGTGAATTGTGTCGTGACAACTGGAACCAAAGCATACAAATATTGGAGAGAGACTTTAAGAGAATTAAGTTAGTATTTGTCGTAAATTGGAATCTGGCTATAGAAGCATTGAGGTCCATTTAGTTGCTTCTTTGAAATGGAACTCTTTGATATATAAATGTAATATGTATATATTTATGAAATATTCTGTTCATAATGCCTGGCTTGAACTTTTTGATAGAAAGAACACATTGGGACTTTTTTTTTTTTAAGCCTTTGTTTTCGAAAAGAGGCTGGCCTCTTACCGTGGTGCTATTTAAAAGATAAGAGTTTTTTTTTGCCCACCCCCCTCCTTTTTTTTTTTTTTCCCCAGAACAAGTGAGTTTGTTATTCTGAGCTTAACAAAATAAATGCTGAGGCTCAGGCTGACAGTACATTCTTTAAGCAACTGTTTTTGATTTTTTCATCAAGCCATGTAAAAAAGAAAAAGGCAGTAGACACACCACATAGTGTAGAGGATTAGAAAGCTCATTCTGTTATCTCCAAATGCATTCAGTGTGTTAAGCTTTATGCACGTTTTAAGAATTCTTGCAATTAAGTGTAGGATTGTTATGGTTTGGATTTGGAGATGCATCACTAATGTTATAAGTTTTCCTGTGTGTAAGAGAGTATGTGTGTATGTGTGTTTTCCAAGTGCACTTCCCTAATTTTAGTTCACTCAAGAATTTAGTTCTCCAGCATTTTATAGACAAAACATTATGGTTGTATTTAGTAGTTTGCATTATTTTTTACCTATTTAATATTTTAATCACAAGGACTTATTTTACTAAGTAAAAAATGCAAAGATTTTGAAAGCTATCTTCTAGTTATAATTTAGCATTTCAACTAGAGGTAGCTTGGGAATTCAGTGAAACTGTTTCAGCTACAGTTATTGAGAGTCATGGTGGACTGGAGTTGGATGGCTTTGTTCTTCAGTGTCTTCCAAAATAACGGTGTTTCGTAATTAGGAGTTAGGAAACTCATTGTGGCTATTTTTCCTCCTGTTTTTCATATATAATGCACTTAGAGATAACCTGTTCTCTTATGCATTTGAAATATTCATTGTCAGTAGTAAAAGTGGTATTTTTGTTTTGTTTTTCTCAGGCAGAGTCTTGGTCTGTTGCCCATGCTGGAGTGCAGTGATCTTGGCTCACTGCAACCATCTCCTCCCAGATTCGAGTGATTCTCATGCCTCAGCCCCCCAAATAGCTGGGATTACAGGCGTGTGCCATCACGCCTGGCTAATTTTTAAATTTTAATAGAGTGGGGTTTCGCCATGTTGGCCAGGCTGGTCTCAAACTCCTGGCCTCAAATCTGCCCACCTCGGCAAAAGTGGTGTTTTAATACAAGAATTCTGCATGTTCAAGGTGGGGAAAAGGCTTATAAGGATATTTGATTAGACATATGAAGAATGCTCACATGGATCTGATATGTCTGGTTTGCTATATTTGGATTTCTGAGTGAATATAAGCTATCAATAACCATTAATTAATTGATGATCCATATTTGTAAGGAACATTGAGATGTAAAGTTAGCACAGCTTTGAGAGTTTAGCATGAAGATTCGCATCCTGTAATCAGTCTGGATTGTGGTTTTCTCATTGATGAAATGGGCGTGTTTGACTTGGACTTTGGTTTGGGCTGTGTCATTTTTGGGGCATTAGGAGTGATAATTCTACTTTTCCAGCCTTCTTAGAATTTGGTGCCAGTTGAGAGAGAGAAAGGGTAAGACAGATAGAGATCAAATGCTGATAGTTACATTGGATTGGAGAATGTGACTTAGATCTGTGGCCTTCTAAGACTGGGCTTCTTAGTACAACCCCACTTTAGACTTTGAACTTTCTGTTTTAGAGGGAGACTGTGTGTGTACAAAGCAAACACGCATATCCGAATTGCTGCCTCATACCTGGTGGGCCCTGATGGCAAGAACACAGAGAGGTGGGGCCTGTGGAGCTGCTTTTGAAAGGCAGCGCCGTGTGTGTCTAGCACGTGGATGGAGGAGCTGATAGGAAACTGCAGGTTGTCTATGATCAGGAAGTTCTTAAAATAAGGAAGAGAGTGAGGCAGGTATGCATGCTTGCATTCTTTCTCCAGACCTTCAGAGTGAAGGAAAAGTGGAGAGGTACAGAAACTTTCTCTTAAATACTTCAAAGAGGTGGAAGCGCCTTTATCACGAAGCCATAGGAAATCTCCATTTGAAAATGCAGTACAAGTTATTCAGCTTCCCAAGAGAAATATTTATTCTCATTTAACATTAGTGCTCAATTTCCTTGCTTTTAACCCTAAAACATCAGGGGAGACAAAAGAAGCCCTGTTCTTCCACATTTGAAATATGTTAGCTATGCTACAGTGTTTTGCTTGTTTGGGTCTGGAAAGTTGAGTAATCTGAAGAGAGAATAGGGTCTATGGAAAGCTATAGGGGATGGACGTATTTGTTACCATGGTATTTTATTAGTAAATTGTAATCTAAAAGCCATGGTGCTCTTGAATGTAACCCTGGACGGTGGATTGGGAAGTGCAGCCGGACAAATACATAGTGTTTGCTTTTTCGATACCTAAGGAAAATGTAGTTATGTTTCATTGGGAGATCATTCTGGTTTGAGGTCTACTTCTCTGGATCCCCAGTTGAATTGTGGTATGCAACAAAATGTGAGGTTAATTTAACCATTTAAATTCTGATCATCCTTGACAAGGCAAACGTTTCCTTTCATACTTATTAGTAGGAACCTTTGAATCTTGAATACTATAATATTAGATGAAAATAAAAACAGCCAGTTTCTTAAAGTCTGATCTTGATTATTCTGTTGTCGATCATCAGAACCGTGTTTTTGTTGTTGTTGCTGTTTTGTTGTTGTTGTTTTATTTGGCTTTTTCTTTGGTCATTTTACCTGTAAATCTATTTTGCAGAAACAAAAGGGAAAGGAGGAGGTGAAACCTAAATCAATCCTAAATCAATTTTTCTCCTTTTTTTTTGACTTATAAGCACCTGGCTTGAGAAGATGCATAGAACACTGGGGAATTATGAAAACAGAGTTTAAAATATCCCAAAAAACACTTTTGTGGTTATAAAAAATTGAATTTTATGTTTCCATACAATTTACTGGAGACTTAGTTTACCAGTTGGGAATCTTTTAGACTTTGGAATACCTTCTTTTTCAAATTGAATTTGACGTTAATTTACTTGAACTTATATTGATGCCTCATGAGGTGCATTATTTGTTGTGGCTCATCTTTCCTTTTTTTCAATTTCAGGTGATCCCATTAAGATACTAATGCCATCACTGTCTCCTACAATGGAAGAAGGAAACATTGTGAAATGGCTGAAAAAGGAAGGTGAGGAGGTACCTTCCTAATGTCCTGTGTGCTTTGTTATTTGGTTATTTTGTTTTGTTTTTTTTTTTCCTAATCTGTCCTGTTATACAGTATGTGATATAAATTAAATAAATTGTGTTCCTTTGGTAGTTAATGTAAGTTTGGTTGAATAAAATTTTCCCATGATAAAGCAGCAAAGGTTTTCTGGGTTCAGCATATATCCTTACACAAGCACAGAATGGTAAAAAATATTTTAAGGCTTTTTCCCCAACTTTTAGTCCTTATGCCTAGCTTTTAGTTTCAACATCATAGTTTTGACATTCTCCTTAATTTATAACTTTATCATGATTGTGTGTGTGTGTGTGTGTGTGTGTGTGTGTGTGTGTGTTCTGGGAGGTAGGCAAGTTCATCATAAATTTTATTGAAAAGAACAAATAAGTAGAATATAAGGAAAACCCTCAAAAGCAGATCAGCGGAGGAGGGTTGTAGCCCTGCTAATTATTGAAATATAGTATTAAGCATTTCTAATTAAAACTCTGGGATTGGTGCTTAAAAGACAGACCAGTGCAGCTGAGTAGAGAATAAAGAAATAGATGCAGTTGCACATGGA
Organism: Homo sapiens; assembly: GCF_000001405.40. Lineage (NCBI taxonomy): Eukaryota > Metazoa > Chordata > Mammalia > Primates > Hominidae > Homo > Homo sapiens. Next base: position 34,932,074 of record NC_000011.10, read on the forward strand.
ATTTAAGTATATAATAAAGGAAGACAATATTAGATTTATTCTTTATGTTATGTGAAGGATAAATTACAAATGAATTATACACTTAATGTATAAAAATGAAACTATGCAAGTCTTGAATTCCTCTGAACCCGGAAGTGGAATAAACACCCTAACTATAACTCAAAATCCAGATTATAATATGGGAAATAAAATTTGATGGTAAAAGTACTAACTTTTATATGGCTAAAAATACAAGTTAAGTAAAAAAAGAAGTGACAAATTGGACAAGAGTATTTGCGATTTCTATCACAAAGGGTTAATATCCCTAAAAAATCGATAAGACTGTCAACTCAACAAGAAAGTGGGCGATACATGAACAGATAGTTTACAGAAAAATAATTGCAAATGACTCTTACACGTAGAAAAAGACGCCTAACCTTTCAACTGGTAAGAAATACGCAGACACTTTACTGAAATGTCATTTCTTACTGATTATATTGACAGTACTTAAAAAGTTCGACAAGCTGTTCTCTTGATGATGCTGTGGAGGGAAGGGAAGAAGCAGGACTCTCAGACATTGCTGGAGGAAATGCTAAATGGTGTAAATACTAGGGAAGAGAATTTGGCACTATTTAGAAAAATTACATTTATGTTTACCCTTTGGCCCAGCAGCTCTACTTCGAGGGATTTGTCTCAGTGTTACACCAGCAAAAATAAGAATAGACACAAACACACACTAGGCTGTTTATCACAGCACTGTTTGAAATAGCAAAAGGTAGAAACAATCCAAATGTTGGTTAGTACAGGATTTGTTGAATAACTTTTACTGTATCTACACCTGTAAAAAGGAATGAGGAATATCTCTTTATACTGCTATGGGGTGATCTTCATTGAAAAAAAGCAAGGTACAGACAAGTGAGTATAGTATATATCATTTATCAAAGAAAGAGGTGGCAGTGCTAATATTTAAGAAATTAGAAAGGATAAAATAAAACTTTAAAAACAACAATAGTTGGTTATCTACAGAGTAATGGAGGGAACCGTGTGGGGGAGAAACTGGAAGCTGGACTTCTGAATATATCTTGTTTTGTCTCTTTGACTTTGGGACAATATACATATCTTGCACAATTTTAAAACAAAATTAAAGTGTAAAAGAGCCCTAAAGATTGAAACGAGACAGGTGATTCTAATTCATTTTTTTCTCTCTCTTTTTCTCTCTCTCAATTTGCTTACATAACCATACAGAGAGGCACTATTTCAAATGTCAGATGTTTGATTATATGGCCCTAATAGATTATAACTGAAGGATAAAGCGTCTCCAAAAGTATAATCCTCAACTGTTAGAGTAATCGTATTATGCTTGTTATGTTGGTATTGTTATTCTAAGGCTTTTGTGTGTATTTTATGGGATAAAGCAAATGACTGGTTAAGATAATATCATTGGAAACTTGGACTTTTAGTGTAGTTTAAAGGAGAAACAGGTAAAAGTTTCTAAGGTTAGGAACGACCCTGTGATGGTAAATTTTCTAGCTCTTTCCCCTGGCAATGCCTGGAAACAAGGACCAATCCAGTCGCAGTAAGCACCCCTAGAACCCAGACTGTCTCTAAATATCAGTTCCCACTAAAGTAAATGAAGGCTCCTTGGAGAGTAGCTACTTGCAGGCCTAGGGCAGGAGATGTGCAGATGAGCTTTTAATATCTTGTCAGTTCAGAAAGCAAGGAAGCTGTCAGAAACTCCTGAGGGCATCTTAAAGGACTCAGGAGCCAGAGATGAGATAGTTTGAGGATCACTAAGGATAATAAGGATAATATATTTAATATATTTCAATACATTAAATATATTTGAATCCTAAGTTCACAGTAATACTAAAGAAAAAAAATTAATAATAATTGGTTAGCTTTAGAGGGTGCTAAGAAATTAACTCATTTTGAAAACGTAATAAATGGAAAGACTCAAGCATTTTTCTCTACCTCTTCTGCTATATGAACCGTAGCTCTGAGTAACCAAGTAATTGATGAGAAGTTTCTCATTATTAGCATATCACAGTTGTTAAAAGATAGAAGAATCATAGAACATCACTGTATTGCCATTTTGCAATCTCTGGTAAAATAGTATAGCCAGTGATCATTAATAGCTGCTAACATCACAAAAAGAGAGATAACCAGATATTACATGTTTCCCACTGTGAAGTAGTCTTGCCAGAAAATTGAACCAAATATGTTCAAGCCTGTAGCTCTATCATTTTCCAGGAAATACAGGGGAAAATATAACGTGTTCAATGACACCATGAGAAGTATATCAGCAAAAGCTAGACTGAGGAATTCTGTATGCCAGTTTCTTCAACCAATAAATTTCAGGGTGGTAGGGAAGAGCCCGGGGGAGGAAGGTGGGGGAACCTATAGCATACAAGAGATTTGAGACCAGTGCCAATGTATGGACCTAATTTTAATTATGATTCAAGCAAACAAAACACATGCGGACATTTGAAAACTGGCTGGATATTTAATGATATTATGGATTTTTTTTTTTTTTTTTTTTTTTTGAGACATGGTCTCACTCTGTTGCCCAGCCTGGAGTATAATGGCGCGATCTCTGCTCACTACAGCCTCAGCCTCCTGGGCTCAGGGTGATTCTCCCACCTAAGCCTCTTGAGTAGCTGGGACCACAGGCATGCGCCACCATGCCTGGTTAGTTTTTTGTATTTTTTTAGAGACAGGGTCTCCCTGTGTTGCCCACGCTGGTTTTGAACTCCTGGGCTCAAGTGATTCTCCTGCCTCGACCTCCCAAAGTGCTAGGATTACAGGCATAAGCCACCGCACCCAGCATAGGAATTATTAATTTTAAAGGTTTAATAATATTTTGGTTATATTTTGATTATTAAAAAAAAAAAATCTCACCTATAAGAGATGTGAGATGAAATACTTACGAATAAAATGACAGTATCTCTGGGATTAGCTTCAGAATAACCCTGGTTGAGGTTGAGAGGGTAGGGAGGGGTATAACTGAAACAAGATCGGTCATGAATCACTTGGCAGTTGTATAAGTGAGGTAAAAGGTATATGTGGCTTCATTGCCTTTCCTTACCACTTTTGTATAATTCAAAATTTATTTTTTATATATAAATTTTTTTAATATATTTTTTAAAGGTTGTGCATAGTGCTTTCAGGATATAATTTGAGATGAGAAACTAGTACCAGATGAATTGGAATGTTGATATTATTAAGAGAATATTTGATACAATACCATCTATAAAGCTGTATTATGTCACTGTTTCTGGCAACCATTTTGCCAGATTTTAAGTACCTAATATGGTGCTTAGAAAATAAAGACTATGAATAAAAGAGGTGAGTATGTTACAGTGCTTATACAGAAGGATAGAGGAACAGTTAATGTGAAGGAAGCTGGGCTTTTTGTTTTTCTGGCAGCTACTTTCTTTTCCTTTTCTTTTCCCCTTTTTCCTTTGCCATGTGTGGTGGTAGAGTCTCCCCTCCAGGTATTGGCCACTGGATAACCTCTTTTAGCACCCTATGTAGCTGTCTTTCTCTGTGCTTGATTCATTCTGTATCAGGTTAAACTATTGTGGAGGAAAGAGGATGAGTCTACAGTACCTATTAGGGATTGTTAGACAGAAAAATAGAGAAATTAGAGGTGACTGAATGAGTCCCCCACAGCCATTATTATGCGTCATCTGGAGCAATGGTGAATCAAGTGTTAAAAAGGGAAAGAAAGAAGGGAAGTGCAAGTAGAGAATGAATAACATGGTCTGGGGAGGACTTGTCTAATTCCAGAGACTAGCCCTGGCAAGGACTTCCAGGGTATCCTAATGTGATTTAGTAGGCACAGATGTCACTCATACAAATGTTGGTATTGAGTGGTCCAGTCTAGTGCTTGTAAAATAGTATCAAAAGAGTTTAGGCAGTGGGCAGGACACCAGAGTCTGGAAGAGCTGTGTTGTGATTCTAGAAGGTCTAGCCTTTCATAGCATCACTTTTGCCACTAATGACAGATGTGGGGATCAGGAAGAGGGCTAACAAGTATTTACTTGAGAACACTAGCCAAATGAGCTGGGGAGTTTGGGACAAGCAAGGCCTCACTTCTTTGAGGGAGTCTGGGGTGTAAGGAAAGGCAAGAAAAATTGCTGTGGGTTGAGCCACTATGGAGGTTAGGAGGTATGGTGCAGTGAGGTTATCCAAATGAACATTACTGGTCCTTGATAGACCCAACCAAGTCTGTTTGGGCATATTACTTAATTCTGTTCCTCAGTGGGGAATATGTCTGAGTTTGTTCATGTTTGTGCTTCCCATAATGACTAACATCGTAATTGGAATAGAACTGCAGTGCTGTAAGTGGTCAGTTAGTAAAGGTAATGGCAGAGGGGAAAGTAAGCCAAAAGCAGGGTACATGACAGGGATCCAAGAAGGCTTTGCAGATGAGGTAGTATTTGAACTGGTCCTTGTAGAATAAATGGGCTTTTTAAAAATAATGAGAAGGACATTCCAGCTAGAAAAACATGGGTAAACTCTTGGAAGAAAGATGTCACTGAGACATACTTTTGCAACAGCAGGTAGGTCTGGCTGCATTGGGGACATAATGGCTGTAAGATCAGATAGATTATTGGAAGGATCTTGAATGCCAATCTGCAGTTTATCAGTCTGTGAGGGTCCTTATCCTAAAGCCAAAATAGATCCACATTCATGGTTTCTTAATAGGAAGTGGTTTCTTTTCTTTTCTTTTTTTTTTTTTTTTTTTTTTCTGAGACAGAGTCTCACTCTGTCACCCAGGCTGTAGTGCAGTGGCCCGATCTTGCTCACTGCAACCTCCACCTCCCAGGTTCACGTGAGTCTTGTGCCTCAGCCTCCCAAGTAGCTGGGACTACAGGCGAGCACCACCATGCCCAGCTAATTTTTATGTTTTTAGTAGAGACAAGGTTTCACCATGTTGGCTGGTCTCGAATTTCTGACCTCAAGTGATCTGCCCACCTTGGCCTCCCAAAGTGCCGGGATTATAGGCGTGAGCCACTGTGCCTGGGCAGGAAGTGGTTTCTACATACTTTTCTGAGCCCTATTAGTAGCATTGCGTTGAAAGGAACAGACCCTAAGAGTAACCTGGTATGAGGAGATAACTGTAGGCAATTTAAAGTAGCCTCCTTTTCCTGCTCTCATTTGAAAAGCCAACACTGAGAACTCCTAATCAATGTGATAATCTAAACAGATGGGGTAAAGCATCTGCTCTCTATCGGATATAATATTATAAGTAAATCTTTTCAATGTTAAGTGGTGCTGGAATGCAGAGAAAGGAAATCACCAAGTGTCCCCACATCTGGAGTGGTGAATGGGAGTTGAGGCCATGTGCACCACTAGGGCTGAGCTGGAAGGCTGGAGTTGCTGACTTTTTTTTTTTTTTTTGGTGGCGGGGTGGGTGGAAGGAGCAAGGAAGGGAAATCAAGAATCAGATTAAAATTTGAATATGGTAAGATTTGAAATGCATATGAGGCATTCAAGGGAAGGTGTTCAATAGATAACTGATTATAGGAGTTGAAGTTCAGGAGTGAAGTCTGACTTGGAGACAGAAATTTGAGAGTCATCAGCATGTGGATGGAATTTAATGCCATGTGATAACAGGCAAAATGATTTTGAATCTATATGGAATAAGAATGCCTACTCCCCTAAAGAGTCCTCCTGAGGGTCAAATTTATAGAACTTGCATTTTCTGGGAACCCACAGATAGAAGTGAAGTTGTCCTGGGCTGATCGCCTCCCTGGGTTACCTGGTAGAAGCCATTATTCTGGAAGAATACAGCTTCTAATCCAAACCATACAGAATTTGCAGATAAAGTCTCACCAAAAGTCACAATCCCACATTTAATAACGTATGTGGAAGAAGTCTTTTAGGAGTGAAGTCAGTAGGCATAACAAGCAGCAGGACTGGATCCCAAGAACTTCAGTTAATTGGAATTACAAAAGTCCAGGCAGATTTGAAAAGGATAAACAGAACTTCTAGTAATGAAAAATATAGTCTCTCAAATTAAAACCCCCCAAACCTCAAGGGTGGGCTGAAGTGTGATTAGACAGGACTGAATGAAGAATTTGTGAACAGAAGGACGACTAGAGGAAGTTAGGTTGCATGTAGCACATAGAGACAGCACTGGAAAATATGAAAGAGAAGTTGACATATGAAGGGTAAAATGAAAATTATTCAATAACCCAATAGGAATTTCAGAAGAAGAAAAAAAGAGGGAAATGGGAAGAGGTAATTTTCAAAGAAAAACATGGCAGAGAATTTTCTAGAATTTAAGAAAGATATGTGTAATGTAAATGAAAGAGCCAGTACCCCATTGGAAAGCATTTAGAGCAATTGGCTCTGCATGGCTGCTGCTATCTTTTAAAATAATTGTCAGTATCTAAGAAAGTTTTACCTTTATAAATAATGTAATCAGTTGGAATGTGTTTTTAGGTTTCTTTTCTCTGATGAATTACAGAGCTTTGGCTATTTCCATATTCGATATGACAGGGTGTTGGTGTCATTAAATAATGATTCAGACACAGAACAGTCTTTTAGGGATTATTTTAAAAAGATTAACTTTCTTCACACTTTGAGAATTTATAGGTAAGCAGATGAGGGGATTCTTGGGCCACATTTATCTTTCAGACTTCCAGCTCACTGGCAATCTAATAAGTTATTCACACCCGTTAGAATATGAGCAGTAAGATAAAGAGCCAGCAGACATATGGTCTCATTATTCTGTTCTTTTTTCCTTTTGATTACAATATGCTATTTTCATGTAGGACAGGCCAGGATGTATTTTAAGTCCCTGGAGCATGTTTCCCTGAAGGTTGCTCTTAAAATTCTGTGTTCTGCCAACTGAAGGGAAATTTGTTTTTGCCAAAACACAGTAAATAATTGAGAGCAATCTTAATCCTTGGTTCTTAGTGGTTCACTGGCTTCTTTTTGAAGCTCATCACCTTTGTGATTTGTGATCTTTTGAGTATAATTGGCTGCTTTTCATTAACACTTATTTACTGTATACATGGGTGTCAATATATGTTTAAGTATGCCTGGTTCTTGGTACATTTATGATAACTTGCTCCATTCATTTTATATTAAAAACAAATTTATATTCTGACAGCATACTTTTCATATATTTTTTCTCTTATTAACTGTTTTTTGTTTGTTTGATTTTTGAGATCTTTTTAAATGTATGGTCACCATAAAACAATGAGTTTAAACCTTTATGCATTAAGAAAATTGATATTTTTCATGAAAAATGATAGTGTTGCATCGAATTATGAATCTAGTTTACTTCTAAGCGAAGACTAGATAAGTATTTGAGAACATTCAATGGACAGCAGTTCAGTCTTAAAAACCATTAAGTTTTTTCAAAGATCTGAGACTGATTCACAGCTTCTTTTACTAATGGTGTGTGTGTGTGTGTGTGTGTGTGTGTGTGTGTGTGCACTTGCATGCGCGCAGCGTTTTACACCAAGGAGGTAAGGGTGCAAAGAAAAAACTCTGGCCCAGGAATCATGGTTTTTCCTTTGGGGTTCCTCCTCTGCCATGAACTACCTGGGAGTGAGTTGAACTAGCTGAAATCTAAGGTACGGAATATCCTGGATTTATAATTCTATGATAACTCATTTTTATTTTCTTTTTTTAAGTAACTGAAATATGCAGTATTATAGCATATAAATTATTTCCGTCTTTGTTGAACTCATGATTCTAAGAAAATAAGTTTTATAATGACTATTAGAGTACTTCATTTCAGTCTGAGGATTGACTAAAACCTTATATATCATAAAATTAGTACAGAAAATGCTCTGAAAGTGCTAGGTAACACCCACAATTTCAAAATCTTTTGAAAGGTCAATTGAGCTATCATTTGGCATTTTTATTACAAGTTTTTTATTTGGAGGGGGCATGTGCTTCAGATATTTTCAGTTTAAACTGCACCTAGTTTATTTTTTCATCAATTGAACTGTCAAATCTGTTAAAATAACAGAAAGGAAAAAAAATTCTTGTTCTCCTTTTGTAAGAGAATATTTGAGGTTATGAAAAACCTTGTTTTTTTTCCTCAGAATATTTGAGATTTTTCTGCTCTGCCGTGAAGCACTATGGAACAAAACCAGGCTAAGATAATTCCATCAAGCACTTAGCCACACCCACAGTGCCTAGAATGTACGTAGTAAGCATGCTTAACAGTGGTGCTTGTTGCTGCGGTATTCCTTATGTCATGAGACAAGGGATTTTTTTGTATTTCAAATAGTTTTTGTCTAATATACTGTTACTGTATAAAATTCAGAAATAAAACCATTTTGAAGAAAGCCTTATCCTATATCACTAGATGCCACTAGAGAGTTATATGGGTCTCTGGATTCTACTATAGAAGACACTTTGGTTCCGTTATTTCTGGCAATATGTATATGTTTGTGGTGCTAAAATGGAAAATTTTGAAAAGTCCATTTCACAAATAGCTTCCTTTTTTTGGTGTACTATGGTTTTCACAGCTTTATTGAGGTATAATTTACATACCATAACATTTACCTATTTTAAGTATTCAATGATTTTTAATAAATATATGGAGTTGTGCAGCCATCACCACAATCCAGTTTTAGAACACATTTCTGTCACCCCAAAAAAGATCCCTGCTGCCTGATTGCAGTCATTTTTTTCCTCCCATCTCTATCCCTAGACAATCCGGATCTGTTTTTTGTCTCTAAAGTTTTGCCTTTTGTCTATGTTTCATATAAATAGAAGCATGTAATGTTTGGTCTTTTGTGACTAGATTTTTTCAGATTTAGCATGATTAAGGTTCATCCATGTTGTAGCATTTATCAGCTGTTCATTCCTTTTGTTACTAAATTATATTCCATCATTATGCGTTTTTACATTTATTGCTAAATCTTTGTATTATATCAGAATTTTTAAATTAGTGAATGGAATTATAGATTATAGTTTTATTCAATAGAAGTTTCTGTGGTGATGGAAATGTTCTGTGTTAAACTGTCGAATACAGTAGCTACTAGACTTTAAGAAGCCAGAGGGATGTGTGGGTGGTTGACCTTGTCTAACTGGGCCCTTCTCAAACTCTCCTACTCATGCCTTCACCCCATAGGGCAGGACCTCAACTGGCCTAGCAACCAGGTTGCCTCAGGTCTTTGGCCATGCAAATATTATCCTTCTTTGTGTGTGTGTGAAGTGAAAAGGGATGACAAACACTGACTAGGGGTCCCTCCTCTACATTCCCATTCTGCTGTAGGTACTAATTGGATGGGATTGTCATTGCCTGCTTGTTGTACTGTTCTTCAATCAGATTAGGAACTTCTTGAAGCAGTTCTGTCTTATTTTATTACTATTTTTATCATAGTGTCGCACACAGTGTCATTCACATGGGCAGCTAGTAAATACTTGTAGAGTCAACAATTGAATTATTTTTGTTTCTGATTATTGTTATCATTATGGTTCAACATAGCACTAAGAAGAGGAATTTTTCTTTAATGTTCATGTTAATCTGATAACTTGGTCTTACAGATAAAAACTAGCTCTCTTCCACCACCACCACCACACACATCTTTTACGTAAAGACTTTTATTCTTAATTTTTGGCAGAACAAAATTATTTTGTGAAAGCCTCAGGACTTATTCTATTAATAAAATAAACATCACCATTAACTGTGTTTGACCAAGGCTATGCTTAATATCTAGAATTTAAAAAGAGAAAGGGAAGCCTCCGTATACTTCAGTCCTCAGCTCTGGCAGCTGCCCATCGGACAAAGGAACAGGACGATGATGCTGGCGTCGGTGCTGGGGAGCGGCCCCCGGGTGGGCCTCTGCTCTGGCCCCTCCTGGGGCCCGCACTCTCGCTCTGGGCCCGCTCCTCTTCCGCCACTGCCATGGACCACGAGAAGATGGTGCAGGAACACTCCAGGGCTGCCATCTCTTTCTTCAATCAGTCAGCTATGAACCTGACAGCTGAGAAGCCATCTGTCATCTCACGCTGTCCAGGACCCTCTATCCTAGCTGCTGAGTCTTTTCCACTCTTCTCCACTTTAAACTCTTTGTGGACAGAACCTTCTCTTTTTGTTGTTTTCATACCCAGTGCTTAGTACAGTGCCTTATACATTAATGTTTGTTGGATGATCTGGTAGAAATGACAGAATATGGAATAAATGTGTCCTGATTCTGGTAGAAATGACAGAATATGGAAAAAAACCGTATCTTGATTCAGGTAGACATGACAGAATATGGAATAAATGTGTCTTGATTCAAAATGGTTGTATAGCTAACATTTTATTTTTACCTAGAGATGTTGTAAAGTGTTACATAAAGATGTATGTGAAGCATTAACACTTCCAGCCCCATGACTTAAAAAATATATATCTATACATTTAAAATTTTCCTGAGAGTCAGAGAGATTAAGTAACTTGGTCAAGATCACTAGTAACTGTCAGAGCTTGGAATCAAACTCATATTTGAATTAGGAGAGGTTCCTTGTAACTACTCTGCCAAGGAGTCTTTCTAAGTTATAGCACTAAATTTTTGATCACAGCTGAAACTCAGTAGATTTGAAATATTCATGGCTCATTATTTGCTCTCAGAGTTTTCTTTTGGCATTTACATGATGTTTGATTATTGAAAGATAGAACTTTGGTTTTGTGATGAGTTAGGGGTAATGCTTCCATACGTAATATTACTATGTTTTTAAAACTTCCCTGTGATTTATTGGTAAAGTGTTCTGTGTTTCTTTTCCCTACCTCCCTCTCTTTTGTCCTCTCCTTTTTTCCTTCTCTCTCCTCCTGCTTTTCTCTTCTACCCTCTCCCTTGGCATTCTCATCTAGCTAACATATATGTCTGTGTTATGTGAATAGATATAGTTTTTTAAAAAAGAAAAAAAGGCTATCTTTTTAAATATCAGAAGCATGCTACAAATCAAATGTTAGAAGCAAAAGAAATGTAAAAGATAATTTGATGTATACCTTATGAGGAAATAAGGATTCGTGAAGTTATCATGTTTTTTTCTAAAGCATTTTAATCTAAAATTCATTGGGTATGGTGCATTGGCCATGAAACCTGAGGAATGGGGATGGGAATATAAAACATTTAAGTGTCCTGTCCGTATTGTGAAGAAGCTCATAGTCTAGTAAATAGAGGAAATCACAATTTAAAAAAGTAATTAGCAGTAATATAACATTTTATATGCAATTTGTGATTTTTAAATAAATTAGACCTACTATAGGAATCTGGAATATGAACAAAATTATGTAGGTCAAGTTACTCAGAGAAAGTTATATAGCTGAAGTCGAATCTGTAGTTCTTAAAGTGTGGTTGGAATTTGAATACTGATGAACACAAATGATGATATAGCATCATTTTGTTTTTCTGTGGCTAGAGTCTGTTTTCTAGGCATCTAAGAGGTATTTAATTGCTGGGTTTACTAGTTCTATAGTTTTTCCCGTGATTATAGCAGAAATCTTTGAGGGTGTGCTTTTTTTCCCTTTTGAAGTGCAATCTGTTTTAACCACTAAAACATTTAAAGAAGTATGTAAGATGATATAATCTGACACTGTAGCTTTCTCTATGACATACAAAGGTCATTTTTGGTCTCTTCCTGCATATCTTACCAGCCTAATCTCTCGTCACTTCTCTCGCATACTATTTGCCAGTTTCTCTGAAGTTTCCTGTTCTCTCTGCCTCCAGGGCTATAAGTGTATTACCTTCTACCTGGATCACTGCCTGTTTACAGATTGTCTCCTCCTCACCTCTTCAGGCTCAGAATAGGTGGTCATTGTATTCTAGGAAGCCTTTTCTCACCTTACAAAAACTGAATTAGATGCCCCTCCTGAACATTCCCAAAGCATCCTGACCTCACCTTATCCTGCTGTATTTTCCAGTTTACTTGTCAATGGATATTAAGCAAGCTTCTTGAGGTCAGGAATCTTAAATCTTTGCTGTTATTACTGTCCACTGCTGTATCCTCAGTGCCTACATATGTATATATATTTTATATGTAATATATAAATATATAATACAAATATGTGTGTGTGTGTGTATATATATATAAAATATATTTATATAATTATTATTATTTTTTAGACAGAGTTTTTGCTCTTGTTGCCCAGGCTGGAGTGAAATGGCATGATCTTGACTCACTGCAACCCCCTTCTCCCAGGTTCAAGTGATTCTTCTGCCTCAACCTCCCGAGTAGCTGGGACCACAGGTGCCTGCCACCTCTCCTGGCTAATTTTTGTATTTTTAGTAGGGACGGGGTTTCACAATGTTGGCCAGGCTGGTCTTGAACCCCTGGCCTCAGGTGATCCACCCACCTCGGCCTCCCAAAGTGATGGGATTACAGGTGTGAGCCTACACGCCTGGCCACCCCAATACATTTTTAATAAATGTTTGTTGACTAGGGACATCTCTTTGGAGTTAGACAAAGGACCTTTTAGGTGGTAAATAAATATCATCTAACATATCAATTTATTTTTAAAAATAACTTATATTAGTGTCTCTGAACTATTTAACCTGAAGATATAACTATCAATTTGATCATCTTGGTACACAATGAAGTACTTTCTGTACTGTGAACGTTCAGAGCATATTTGTTAATTTAGTGTTTTAGATTTTCTTTCATATTCTCTTATGATGCTTGCCTGTTAATATTGCTATTCCAGCTATTTTTGGTGTGTGAGGAGGTGTATTTATATGTTACATATTTTTTATCCCCTTGTTTTTTATTCTGTTTTTGTGTTAGGGCTATCTCTTGTAAGCTACATTTACCTAGATTTTATTTTCATATCCATTTTGATAATCTCTACTTTTAATGGGTGATTTTAATCCATTTATATTTATTGTGATTACGGATACATGGGGACTTATTTCTACCATTTTTTGTGCATTTTTGTTTTTATCCTTTGCCTTTTCTTTCCATGTGCCTGCCCTCAGTTAGATAATCAACTTCTTATTTTTCCTCTGTTTTTCTAATGCTGTAGATTATATTTCTGTTTTTAAATTTTAAATTAAATTTTGCCAATAAAGTTTAGTATTATTCAGTATTTTTCTCCTATTATAAGTTGATGCAAAAGTAATTGGGGTTTTTGAAAGTAAGGTGGTAAAAATAAAATTACTTTTGCACCAGCTGAATATATCAAAGTTGTTAGCATGCCTTACCATCTAAACATTTCCTTACCTATCTTATTATTTTTTAGAGTTTGAGTTTTACACTTTTTAAACCCTCAAACATTACTTTAAAAATACTAGTAGTTAACATTTTAGTAATTTTCACAATAACTTGTTTCTTATAGCCCATGGGTTCCATCTGCTTCCACTTTTCTTCTTGATGAACTGCATCTTGTAAGAGCTTTTTAAAGAGATCTTTAATAGGTGGTAAAATTTCCTAGCCTTTATATATCTAAAGAATACTTCTCTTTCATTCTCAAATGATGGTTTGGCAGCATACAAAATTCTAGACAGTTATTTTTCCTCAGTTTTTTGAAGATATTACTTCATTGTTTTCTGACCTCTGTTGCAGCTGCTGAGAAGTGTACTCTCAGTCTTTCCATTGAGGTAATCTGTTTTTTTTCCCCTTTGATAGATTTTTAAAAGATTATGTTTTTATCGTTGATAGAATGCGGTTTCTTTACATTGTATCTAATATGGATTCATGTTTATATAGTCTAATACTCTTTTTTCTGTTTAAGTTTTTATCAAGGTATAACTTGCATAAACTTTAGGCTCAATTAAATTTTGTATACATGTATACCCATGTTACCACCACCTAGATCAAGATTTAGAACATTCTTAGCAAGCTACACAGATCCGTATGCCCCCTGCTAGTCAGTACACCTATCCTAAATTCATTCAAAACTCTTTGATGATGAGAGTATACATCTCCAGTTCTGGGAAATTCTCAGCCACTAATTCTTCAGGTATTGCTTCTCCACCAGTGCCTCCAGTGTCTTCCCTCAGAACTCCATTAGCAAACATTGCAGCCTCAGTCTTTGTCACTTAACTGCTCTTTTCTGTTTTTTCGTTTTGTTTTGTTTTTTGTTTTTAATGTTTGTATCTTTTTGTCTGCCTGTATGAAATTCTGCGTAGTTCATTAGTGCTACCTTTCAATTTACTAATTCATACCTTCACTATTCCCTGTCTAGAATATATTCTGTTGTTTCTTTTTATTTCAATTACTTAATTTTTCATTTTTAAGATTTCTAATTCGTTTTTTTATTTCTACCTGATACCATTTTTTTTTAATTTCTTGTTCTTGTGATGGCTCTTTTACTTTCATTTATGTTTTTGGATGTCCTCAAGTACTTATTTTACAATCTTTGACAGATTGCACTAAATAAATTGCTTCTGAAAAGAATTTTTGTTACAATTACTGATTTTGTGGCTTGCTTTCTTAGCTTTTGATTTCTTCGTGTGTCTCAGAACTTTCTTGTGCAATTTACTTTTAAGTGGAAAGTTTATGTTTTAATGTCTTCCCTCCTACGCAGTCCCCCCTCGATCCTTGCCACCATCCAAGGAATTTTGCAATTGATATTGGGGATATTGGCAGATACAGCCCCGGAGCCAGAGGGTGGCTTGACTTTGTTCCTGGTACTGAGGCAGTATTCTGGTCCCCACCTTCCTAGACCCATGGTTGCTGATTAAAATCATAGTCTCAGTCAACAGGTTTTGATTGTGCATTTTATCAGCCTCACATTATGAGTAGAAGAACCCTGACTTAGCCCTAGCTCCAAATAGTGAATCTGATTTGAGTCCCCTATATCCAACAGACTACTTTTAGTTCCCTTTAATCCCCAAAGGAAACTGTTGTACCTCTTTTCCCCTGTTTGCTCCAAACCTGCTCCTAAATCCAGAAGCTAGTAAGCCTGGAACTTCAGGTCTTCCTCCATATTTTTGAGTTTCCAGATATTTTCTGTTGCAGAGAAATGATCTGTATTTGACTTCAGTTGTGTCTTTGATTTTCTCTTTTTATGCTTTATATGCTTTATTCATTTATACTGTGTGCTGCCAACAGGTTTTTTGAACTTGCCCTAAGATGTGAACCCAGAAGTACTGTTAATTGTAAAACTTTTCTTCAGGGAATATAGTCAAAATGTTTGAAAAAGTAAGGGGGATATGGAGTCTGGAATTGATTTGTTCAGAGGTGGATACACATTTGTTGCTGATGTCTTTAAGGTTGATTTCATTTTTACATGCTCAGTAATCTTTGTAATAGCTTTTTTATTATCACAAGTATAATTTATGTCCATTATAGAGCTTTTGGAAATTACAGCAAAGCATACACATACACACACACACACAAACACCCACACATAATGAGAATTACTTGTATTTCCACAACCCAGAAATAGCTACGGAATATTTTGGTATTTATTTATGTTTTATTCATACGTACATATATACATAGTAATATTTATATTTTAAAAAACAAAACAAACCCAGTCTTGTTTTGTAGGTGAAGCGGTGAGTGCTGGAGATGCATTATGTGAAATTGAGACTGACAAAGCTGTGGTTACCTTAGATGCAAGTGATGATGGAATCTTGGCCAAAATCGTGGTAAGTTTTTATTTTAATTTTCTTCAACAGGATGAAGATTTCTTGAGTGGAAAGTTCATTGTAGTAAAATTACCTTTTATTTTTGCCTCCTTATTTTTAATGTGTATTGTCTACTACATAATACATTTTTAGTTCAAGTGTTTAAAATGTTTTAGAGTTAAGGTCTAATAGCCTATTTTTCTGTATTTTCTAAATTTTCTGTAATGTGCGTTATTTTTATAATGGAATATTAGAGCTTATGTGAAAAGTAAGTGAAATAAAATGCGTAGAGCTACATATGGTAGAAACATGACTATTTAGCATTGTGTGGTATATTCCCTGATTGAGCCAACCAGCGTGTTTGTTTCTTAACTTCCAGAACCTTTACTAGGTAGTATGGTGGAGCATCTAAGACTGTGGACTCTGGAATCACCCCGCTGACTGATTCATGTTATATCTAAAAAGTTCTGCCAGTTATTAGTTACGTAATGATAAGCAAATTCTTCATCCCCTGTGCCTTTTTCTTCATGTTAAAGTAGAGATGATAATAATACCTACTTCATAGGACAGTAGGGAAGATTGAGAGAGTACATATATGCTCATCTCAAGACCTGTTACCCAATTGCTCAATAAATGTTACTTTTCCCATTATTAGAACTGTTTCCTCAGCTCTTGGTGACCATTAGTCCCCAAGTCAGTCTGTATGTTTGCCTAATAATTTGTATTGGTTGGTTGCAACTGGATAATAAGTATCCATTTGTGCCTCTGGAGTTCAATTTGTACAGATGAGCTGCATGTCTATTAGCAGTCCCTTGTGGATGTGTTTTTATTTCTGAGCCACCAGCTTACCTCTGCTTTGAGCATAGATGTAACACCTTCCTTTGTATATTCTATTCAAAGACTACACTTCAGAATGCTATACTCTAACTAGGTGCAAATCTAGAGACAATTTTTTATTTGTTTTTCTTTCTAGAAAATCCTCTTTTCCTTTTTTTTTTTTTTTTAGCCACTTATGTTGTATTTTTAACTTCGAATATGTCAAACTCCTTTACTTGTCATCTCTCATATTAGATACTAGATATAACATTCCAGGTTGAAACATGTTGATAATACAGTTAACTTCCTTGTAGGAATATGAATCAAAGCCTAAAATTTCTGTACATTTGTAACTAGGAAAATATAAATATTCATACCAAAAATAGTTTTCTTGACTAATTTATGCAGCATATTGAAACAGATTGCTTGAATTACCATGTAATAAACCCAGCTACATTTTATTATGTGTGCTTTTGGCAAACTGTGTTCTTGGCCCCAATTCTGGATTGTTTGGCTGTGGAAATCTTCCAGAATTGATAGCATTTTTCCACTTAGCTGCTTAGTAATACATTTCAAATTGCTAACCATGTCAGTGGGTCAGCAGTGCCAATTCATCTGGCCCCTATGCTCTGAAAAAGGTTGGGAGTGGGAGTGCATATAGTTGATAGTGGCTTTGGTGGCACAGCTATTTTCTTGCCAAAGAAAAGACTGTATATTTTAGGCCTTTGTGGCTTTATTATTATTCCACATGCTTTTTGGATAATATTTGGGAGTCTCTTCACAACAAGATGTTGCAATTTTATCAGGGACAAACTAGTAAATCTTTTTTTCTTCTGTTTTTTGTTTTTGTTTTTGTTTTTGTTTGAGATGGAGTTTTGCTCTTGTTGCCCAGGCTGGACACGATCTTGGCTCATCACAACCTCCGCCTCCTGGGTTGAAATGATTTTCCTGCCTCAGCCTCCCAAGTAGCTGAGATTACAGGCATGTGCCACCACACTCAGCTAATTTTGTATTTTTAGTAGAGACGGGTTTCTCCAATTTGGTCAGGCTGGTTTTGAACTCCTGACTCAAGTAATCTGCCCACCTTGGCCTCCCAAAGTGCTAGGATTATAGGCGTGAACCACCATGCCCTGTCAAAACTAGTAAATTTTGATACAAAAATACTTCAGTTATTATACATTTAAAGATCAGTTCATCAGCTTATTCTTAAAGTTAGTATTTAGCAAATTGAACAGCAGCTGTTTTAAATGATAAATTAATAAAGTAGAATCTTAGGATGACATATTTGGAGGGTTTATTAGAGGTTCTCTAATTTGGCTTCCAGTGTATTTGGGGTTGCTATATAATTTGGCACACCAATTAGGATATTTGTGAGGATGAAAAGGGTATAAGATGTCAAAATTATTTACATTTATGTAATGTTTGCAATGTATTTATTGACTAGCAATATATTTATTGATAGATTTTTATTGATAGACCATTATTCAAAACAATTTTCAAAAGTAGAATTTTTTCTAAAAAATAGCATCCATGGATATTAAAACAAATTTTTTTTAAAAAAATGGTTTTTTAATTGATCATCTGAATACTAAAAATAGCAGAATAATTATTCTCGGTACTATTCACCTTCTTCAGTTGGTTTCTTCACTTTATCTCACTCAAATACTGTCATTGGTATTTTTCTAAAGAATACATTTTTAAATATTACTGTATTCGTTAGATACCCCTTCCCCACCCTTATTTTTTCATTAAGTTGCCCACAATCCCATTCAAAGTTGCCTTTTAATGGTTTGAAAGTTTATGGTTGAAATTTGAAGTTGTAGAGGCTTCAAATGATTCTTCTGTCTAGACCGTGATATTTTTAATTGAGAAAATAGCCTCTCAGAGCTCAGAGCAGTTCTATTAAATGGAAGATATTCTCAACTCTAATTTTTTCTTTTTTTAATGTTTGTTTATTTATTTATTTATTTTATTATTATTATTATTATTATACTTTAAGTTTTATGGTACATGTGCACAATGTGCAGGTTAGTTACATATGTATACATGTGCCATGCTGGTGTGCTGCACCCATTAACTCGTCATTTAGCATTAGGTATATCTCCTAATGCTATCCCTCCCCCTTCCCCCCACCCCACAACAGTCCCCAGAGTGTGATGTTCCCTTTCCTGTGTCCATGTGTTCTCATTGTTCAATTCCCATCTACGAGTGAGAACATTCGGTGTTTGGTTTTTTGTCCTTGTGATAGTTTACTGAGAATGATGATTTCCAGTTTCATCCATGTCCCTACAAAGGACATGAACTCATCATTTTTTATGGCTGCATAGTATTCCATGGTGTATATGTGCCACATTTTCTTAATCCAGTCTATCATTGTTGGACATTTGGGTTGGTTCCAAGTCTTTGCTATTGTGAATAGTGCCGCAGTAAACATACATGTGCATGTGTCTTTATAGCAGCATGATTTATAGTCCTTTGGGTATATACCCAGTAATGGGATGGCTGGGTCAAATGGTATTTCTAGTTCTAGATCCCTGAGGAATCGCCACACTGACTTCCACAATGGTTGAACTAGTTTACAGTCCCACCAGCAGTGTAAAAGTATTCCTATTTCTCCACATCCTCTCCAGCACCTTTTGTTTCCTGACTTTTTTTTTTTTTTTTTTTTTTTTTGAGACGCAGTCTTGCTCTTTGGCCCAGGTGGGAGTGCAGTGGCGCAATCTCGGCTCACTGCAAGCTCCGCCTCCCGGGTTCACGCCATTCTCCTGCCTCAGCCTCCCGAGTAGCTGGGACTACAGGCGCCCGCCATCACGCCCGGCTAATTTTTCTGTATTTTTTTAGTAGAGACGGGGTTTCACCGTGTTAGCCAGGATGGTCTCGATCTCCTGACCTCATGATCCACCCGCCTCGGCCTCCCAAAGTGCTGGGATTACAAGCGTGAGCCACCGCGCCCGGCCTGTTTCCTGACTTTTTAATGATCGCCATTCTAACTGGTGTGAGATGGTATCTCATTGTGGTTTTGATTTGCATTTCTCTGATGGCCAGTGATGATGAGCATTTTTTCATGTGTCTTTTGGCTGCATAAATGTCTTCTTTTGAGAAGTGTCTGTTCATACCCTTTGCCCACTTTTTGATGGGGTTGTTTGTTTTTTTCTTGTAAATTTGTTTGAGTTCATTGTAGATTCTGGATATTAGCCCTTTGTCAGATGAGTACGTTGCGGAAATTTTCTCCCATTTTATAGGTTGCCTGTTCACTCTGATGGTAGTTTCTTTTGCTGTGCAGAAGCTCTTTGGTTTAATTAGATCCCATTTGTCAATTTTTGGCTTTTGTTGCCATTGCTTTTGGTGTTTTAGACATGAAGTCCTTGCCCATGCCTGTGTCCTGAATGGTAATGCCTAGGTTTTCTTCTAGGGTTTTTATGGTTTTAGGTCTAACGTTTAAGTCTTTAATCCACCTTGAATTAATTTTTGTATACAGTGTAAGGAAGGGATCCAGTTTCAGCTTTCTACATATGGCTAGCCAGTTTTCCTAGCACCATTTATTAAATAGGGAATCCTTTCCCTATTGCTTGTTTTTCTCAGGTTTGTCAAAGATCAAATAGTTGTAGATATGCGGCGTTATTTCTGAGGGTCAAACTACCATCAGAGAATACTACAAACACCTCTACACAAATAAACTAGAAAATCTAGAAGAAATGGATAAATTCCTCGACACATACACTCTCCCAAGGCTAAACCAGGAAGAAGTTGAATCTGAATAGACCAATAACAGTATCTGAAATTGTAGCAATAATCAATAGCTTACCAACCAAAAAGAGTCCAGGACCAGATGGATTCACAGCCAAATTCTACCAGAGGTACAAGGAGGAACTGGTACCATTCCTTCTGAAACTATTCCAATCAATAGAAAAAGAGGGAATCCTCCCTAACTCATTTTATGAGGCCAGCATCATCCTGATACCAAAGCCGGGCAGAGACACAACAAAAAAAGAGAATTTTAGACCAGTATCCTTGGTGAACATTGATGCAAAAATCCTCAATAAAATACTGGCAAACCGAATCCAGCAGCACATCAAAAAGCTTATCCACCATGACCAAGTGGGCTTCATCCCTGGGATGCAAGGCTGGTTCAAGATACGCAAATCAATAAATGTAATCCAACATATACACAGAACCAAAGACAAAAACCACATGATTATCTCAATAGATGCCGAAAAGGCCTTTGACAAAATTCAACAACCCTTCATGCTAAAAACTCTCAATAAATTAGGTATTGATGGGATGTATCTCAAAATAATAAGAGCTATCTATGACAAACCCACAGCCAATATCATACTGAATGGGCAAAAACTGGAAGCATTCCCTTTGAAAACGGGCACAAGACAGGGATGCCCTCTCTCACCACTCCTATTCAACATAGTGTTGGAAGTTCTGGCCAGGGCAATTAGGCAGGAGAAGTAAATAAAGGGTATTCAATTAGGAAAAGAGGAAGTCAAATTGTCCCTGTTTGCAGCCGACATGATTGTATATCTAGAAAACCCCATTGTCTCAGCCCAAAATCTCCTTAAGCTAATAAGCAACTTCAGCAAAGTCTCAGGATACAAAATCAATGTACAAAAATCACAGGCATTCTTATACACCAATAACAGACAAACAGAGAGCCAAATCATGAGTGAACTCCCATTCACAATTGCTTCAAAGAGAATAAAATACTTAGGAATCCAACTTACGAGGGACGTGAAGGACCTCTTCAAGTAGAACTACAAACCACTGCTCAATGAAATAAAAGAGGATACAAACAAATGGAAAAATATTCCATGCTCGTGGGTAGGAAGAATCAATATTGTGAAAATGGCCATACTGCCCAAGGTAATTTATAGATTCAATGCCATCCCCATCAAGCTACCAATGCCTTTCTTCACAGAATTGGAAAAAACTACTTTAAAGTTCATATGGAACCAAAAAAGAGCCTGCATCGCCAAGTCAATCCTAAGCCAAAAGAACAAAGCTGGAGGCATCATGCTACGTGACTTCAAAGTATACTACAAGGCTACAGTAACCAAAACAGCATGCTACTGCTATCAACTCTAATTTTTTCATATTGAAATAGTTATGACAGATTGTGAGGAAAGATAGTTTATATTCCCCATGAATCAAAAGCTAAATTGTTACATCCACTTTATACCTTTTAAACTTGTTTTTTTAAAATACAGACACCATCTTGAGGTGCTGCATGATAATTTTGATCAGTTGGATATAATTTACAGATTTGATAAATTATTGATTTGGTAGCGATTATATTGGATACCATCTCTGATGTTAGACTACATTTAAATCCTGCCTCTGCTACATACTTGTCTTGTGATCTTGAGCAAGTTACATAACCTCTTCGTGCCTTAATTTTCTCATCTATAAATGGGAATAATGATAGTATTTACCTCAGAAGGTTGTTAGGATTAAATGAGTTAATGCTGTGCTGGAACAGTGCTTGGCACTTGAAAGCCAGACAACTGTTATTCAAGGGCTTAATGAATGTTTCTTCTTCCCCTCTGTATTTTAGCTTATCATTGGTTTGTTCTCATTTTCAGTATTTCTTATGTACTTCCTTATAAACCAAAGTTCATTGTTCATATAAGATAAACAGTATACATTGAAGAATCAAAACAGTTCAAAATTGTATAATGATTCACACCATGATGGAAAATCATAGTGATGAACCAGATAAGTCAGTCACGTGACTCAGGTCATCTCCACTCACTGCTGCACATGCTCTGTCAGTAGTCACTAGGTAGCTTTCAAACTGCTCTATTTTAAAGAATAAAAGTACTTAAATAATTACTTAATATATTGATTTTAATATCAGAATTAAAACAGACAATATTTACTTGTGCCTTTAATGGAATGAGCCCTCTCAATTTCTCTGTTGGACATACTGCTGTAAATGTTTTGCATCTCATATCCCTGTGTACACAGATGAGATTAGGTGAGCTGTTTGTAGCACATTTGCAGGTGATTGATTGGTTAAGATGTGAGAATGTCTCTGGTACAGAAGCCTCACACTAGTGACCTGGGCTTGAGGGATAGAATTCAGCCTCTGTCTGAGAATTATGAAGAAATAGTTTGTCACAGACCTTACTACCCATTATCGTATATGTTGATGTTTGCCCTTTAGTGCTGCCAGCCACATGCTAAGCCTTTAAGCATGAATTTCTAACCCATACCAAGGGGTCAGTCCCCTGTAGTCTAATCTTGATCCATGTTGAATGTATTGTTTTAAAAAATCCATAATTTGAAGGAAAACACCACAGCAATAACAACAGCAATAATAATGCCTTTAACAATGAAAATGAAAACAAGTTACTAGCTATCAGACACTATTCTAAGGGCCTTACATATAACTCATTTATTCCTCATAACAACAATGTGAAGTAGCTACTGTTATTTGCATCTTACAGCTCAGAAAACAAGCATGGTGAGATAAGGAAACTTTACTAAGGTCACATAACTAGTAAGTGGTGGAGCCAGCGTTGAAACTCAGGAAGTCTGTACACAACTGGGAGGGAAGGCTAATATTTGAAATGATAGACTCAACATTCAATATTTCAGTATCGATGAGCTCTAAGTTGATAGAGCTATGTGTAAAAACCCTGCATTTAATATTAAGAAATCATTGGCAGAAGAGTAAGAGAGGGCTTTGGTCAAGTAAGCTGAGTGCATAAGAAAACTCTGGCATTTGAGGTGTCCTTAGCTCCAGATGCTTTGGTAGGGCAGAGTGTATCCATGGAGGTACCATGAGCTACCATGGAGGTAGCTCAGAGAGGAAAGGGAACAGTAACAGAGGCCTGCTTGGTTTTTAAACAGTTTTGCAAAGAGTATTATTTACGTATTTATACTAAGTCTACACCAGTTTTGAGTATTTGCCTACTACAGTGTAAGCAAATGCTTACAGGAAATTAGCACACCTCTGAAAGATCTCTGCACCAAAGGAATAGAAAAGGTTGAAGAAATTATCTTAAATTCATATAGAGATTTTAATGACTTTAAATGGAATTATAATCAACTGTATTTTATCTTCTGTTATATATTCAAGTTGTATGGTTGTATATCACTTGTCCTTGTCCATTGTATTTGGGTTTCATGCTTCATGGTGTCACTTTTTTAAATAGAAAAAAATGTGAATAGTTAAAAATAAATTTTATTTGATATTTAGATAATGGTAAAAATTGAAATGATGATAAATGCTGTTTATTGCCTACTTGTGAAGGTGTCAATGTTACGTTGGTAGAGTATATATGGAATCATTTATATGATTTACAGTAAATGAAACAGAAGGTGAGGTACCACTTTCAGATGTAGTACAGTTGTCTGACTCAGATTTTAGAAATCTATTGATATTTTTAAAGCAAAACTTTTTTTAATGCTTTACATTTGAATGATGTTCTTTGTACTTGGATATTGATCCTATTTCTGATTCAGTTTTGAAAGGAATTAACATCAAGTGGACTTCATGTCACTTAACAGTGCTTTTTTGTATACATTTTTAAAGAAAATTAGTCATTTTACTTTGATTTTTGAGTTAGCAATTCACAAGCAGGTAATTAAACACTTTTAGAAGAAAAATATTGGTCTAATAATAATCTTAACTCATCTTTTTGACATAGTAAAGAAAAAGGAACTCTGCAGAAGCAAAATTTTTTAGTATGTGGCAAACAACTAAGCAACTAGATTTTTCTTGGCTTTCTTAGTATTCTTCCATAGCTTGTAATTCATTAAACATTCCTATTCAGCTTTCTATACTAATTTCATATATATATATATGTATTTTGCTTCATGAAAGCATTGCTGCTTTTCTTCTTCATCAGTAATTAGTAAACTTAGCTTCCTAACCCCTTATAACTTATGCCTTATTAACGATAGTGAACATACCAGTAAGCATTGAAATTAGTGTTACTCTGATATGTCAAACTCATTCTAGAAGTTATGCTTTTCCTTACCATTACTGTATTAGTGGACGTCCTGCAGCCTATCATTCTATTGTTCATTAAATACAGCTAATGAACCTTATTTAGAGTAATTGAAAGGGAATAATAGAAGATTTTAAGGGAATGACATTTTCTTCCAGGAGTGAACTTATAAAATATTGTTATTTGAAGGTTTTCTAGGGACTTCTTTTTAGTAAGTAAATTAGAATTAGCCCTTTCTTTATAAATTAATGCTGCTGAAATGCTTAAAATATACTTAACTTTTAAAAACATTATCTTTGATTTTATTTAAGTGTTTAATTGGCATTATCTGTGGAAGAAATGCTTTATTAACTGAGACACCACTGTGTTTCTGATATACTTATAAAAAAACTCATGAGGTTTTATTTTATTTTTCAGGTTTTGTAAATAGATATACAGGGAAATAATTAAATATAAAGAAGTAGACTATATTTAACATTAACTGGAATAGTTAACCAGTTCTATCTATACATTAGAATGTTCATCTTTTCAGACTAAGTTTACTGAAAAGATTCTTGCATTAGGTAAATTTTAGTAGATTGGACTAAGTTGAGGGAGTTAATCCCTTCTGAGCTTTTAGAATTCTAAAGCCATTGCATAGAAACTCTCTGGGAAAGACAAATGGTTAAGATATGTAGCCACAGGCTCCTGTTTGGATTTGTATTGACATCAAAAAGAAGATGATAATGATGGATCTTACATGTTTATTTGAAGGCTCTCAGAAAGAGGATACATTCTAGATTTATCCTTTATTTCAGAAGGTAGCATTAGCAAGTGGGAAGAGGAGAATGGTGAAGGAAGGCATAAGTGGGAGAAAGTGGAGAAGGTGACAGGTGGAAGGCAGAGGCAAACTGTCTTGGAAGCAGCTTTTAGCTCAAATTAAGATATCTTAAGGGGAGAATTACCCAACAAAAGAACAAACTACTTAATGCAGTCATGGGGTTTTACTTCTCTACAGTTACTTCTTTTTTAAATATAGGTTGAAGAAGGAAGTAAAAATATACGGCTAGGTTCACTAATTGGTTTGATAGTAGAAGAAGGAGAAGATTGGAAACATGTTGAAATTCCCAAAGACGTAGGTCCTCCACCACCAGTTTCAAAACCTTCAGAGCCTCGCCCCTCACCAGAACCACAGATTTCCATCCCTGTCAAGAAGGAACACATACCCGGGACACTACGGTGAGTATATATTTATTCAAAGGATGATGTAAAAAAAAAAAGTTATGGCAGTTCTTATGGAATTGTAATCATTATCATATTCGCACATCGTTGTACATCACGTAGGAAGTTGCTGTTCTCAGCACACTCAGACCTTAGAGTGTGTGTTTTTTTTTTTAACCATCATTGTTCATTCAGTAAATAAATAGTTACTGAATATCTGCTATGTTCCAGGTACTCTAAAAGCCCTGCTTGCACAATGGAAAACCAAACAGTATGTGTCCATGTTGAGGTTGAATTAGGTTTTAGAAGTCTAAAATGGTATTCAATATACCAAACTTGATACTCTGTTCCCATTTATGGAGTTCTAATTACTGTTACAGGAATTCCAAGCTCAAATGTCTATCTGATATAAAATAGAATTCATGTTTTAACATGCATTCGTTTTCAAACTAGTCTGCATTATGACTTTCCGGCACAGACTAGAGCTCAATTTTGTCTGTTCTGTAACAAAACAGATAACTTAATACACATCATTTCACTTTAGTTTTACATTGCTTTAATAGAAGAACTCTGTAAATTCTAACATTTCATTTATTTAGTATTCTATATAATTATACAACATTACTTTTTCTTTACGAGAAAAAGATCTTCATAAAGTAGACCTCTTCATTCTTAAACATTTTTTCCTTTAGTTTATCATTGTCAGAAAAGAATCCACAGTGCTTTTTTTAGGGGGGGGCGTGCGGAGGTGGGTGACGGAGTTTTGATCTCATTGTCCAGGCTGGAGTGCAATGGTGCAATCTCAGCTTACCGCAACCTCGGTCTTCTGGGTTCAAGCGATTCTCCTGCCTCAGCCTCCTGAGTAGCTGGAATTACAGGCATGTGCCACCATGCCTGGCTAATTTTTTTGTATTTTTGGTAGAGATGGAGTTTCTCCATGTTGGCCAGGCTGGTCTCGAACTCCTGACTTCATGATCCGCCTGCCTCGGCCTCCCAAAGTGCTGGGATTACAGGCGTGAGCCACTGCGCCTGGCCTGCTTTTTGAAGTACTGATTTTAAATTCCTAGTGCAGTGTTTCTGACTCTGTTGCCTTGACTCCCATTTACTGTCTCCTCTTTCATTTACCCTAAAAATTGGAAGACAGTCTCACTGATGCTTTCTAACTAATGGTCTTCTGCCCTTGCAAAGATAATAATAGTATGTACCCTAATTAAGATCAGTCATCATCAGAGACTCGCATGAATCAGGCCCCACTGTGTAGGTTAAAAACCTACTGACCTGTGAACTCTGCATACTGTTGGGCACACAGTGAATGAAAAAAAAATTTTTTTTTGGTTGGTTGGTTACTAATCCTATATAAAAATCTAAAATTTCAGATTCTCTTGAAAAATCTAAAGATTTAGTAACATTGGGCCCATATCAGAGTTATTTAATACTTCCCTGAAATGCAGCAAGTTCCACAGTTGTTTCTGTCTCTTAGCTTTAATTTCTAGATCCAGCCTGTTTTAATCTGTACTAATCAGGCTTATTTTCTTTATCTGACCATGTAGTAATTTGTTTACTACTTTGCATACAAGAGATATACCATTAGTCATGTAATCTGAGGTATCCTATATATATAATAAATATATATAATTGTGTATACATACAATTCAACCTCAGCAAAACAACCCAATTAAAAAACAGGTGAAGAACTTTAATAGCATTTCTCCCAAGAAGATACATAGATGGCCAGCAGGCACATGAAAAATATGTTCACCGTCACTAACCATTAGGGAAATGAAAATCAAAACCACAATGAGACACCCCTTCATACCCTTCAGGATGGCTAGTATCAAAACAAACAAACAAACAAAAACCAAACCAGACCCAGATTATAACAAGTGTTGGCAAGGACATGGATAATTTGGAACCCTTGTTGTTGCCTAGTGGAAGTGTAAAATGCTGCAGCTACTGTGGAAAACAGTATGGCAGTTTCTTAGAAAATTAAAATTACCATATCATCTAGTAGGTCCACTTCCAGATATATATGCAAAATAACTGAAAGCAAAGACTGGAAAGAGATATTTGTACATCTATGTTCATAGCAACATTATTCACAGTAGCAAAATGGTAGAAACAACTCATAAGTCCAAAATGCTATGAAATGTGATTCAGCTTTTTAGGAAGGAAATTCTGATAAATGCTGCATGGATAAACCTTGAGAATATTATGCTCAGTAAAATAAGCCAGTCACAAAACAAATAACTGTATGATTCTACTTATGTGAGTTACCTAGAGTAGTCAAATTGACAGAGACAAAGAGAATGGTTACCAGGGGTTGGGAGGAAGGAGGAATGGAGAGTTACTGTTTAATAGATACAGAGTTTCAATTTGGAAAGATGAACATTTCTGGAGATAGATGGTGGTGATGGTTGCACAATAGTGTGATTGTACTAAATGCCACTCAGTTGTACACCTAAAAATGCTTAAAATGATAAATTTTAGGTATCATTTGCCACAATACAAAATATATGAAGAAATGATAGAACAAAATATACGAAGGAAACAATTGGTAGTTGTGATGAGCACCCATGTGAAAGTAATTAGTTGAAATAGCAGCTCTTTCCCCTAATTAATATTTATTCTTATTAAAATCATATTTAGAAATAGTAACTAAATTTTTACGAAAGTGTTTAAAGAATAAAATAAACCAAATTGGTACAGATTATTTGACTGTGACCATCTGTGGGAGTCATTTTAGCTTTATTATAAGATTTTTTTTTAATTATTTGCGAAACTGTTGACATTTAGATCTATTTGAATCAAATGTAAGTGTTAATTGGTTCTATTAACCTTCATATTTTTTTCTTAGGTTCCGTTTAAGTCCAGCTGCCCGCAATATTCTGGAAAAACACTCACTGGATGCTAGCCAGGGCACAGCCACTGGCCCTCGGGGGATATTCACTAAAGAGTATGTGTTTGCTTTTTGTAATAACCAGTTCCATTATTTATTATGATCATGTTTTTTTGAAAGAAAATAAAAAGAGCTTATTCAGTCTTAAGATTTAAAAGGAGGTACACTGTTCTTCTTTTGTACTTTTAATTGCTTTTATCATTGTAAATTGTATTCTATGCAAGAGTTGTTTTCTGAATAATTATAGCATTACTGAAGAACAGCTCTAATTTGGTAACTAAGCAAGATCCTTAGAAGTGGTAATAAATGCAGAAAATTAGAGCGTAGAACAGTGAAACTTTATACAGTATTAAATATGTGAAATCATGCAATAACATTTACATTTCTAAAACAAGGAAATATATTTTTAAAAAATTATTTTCATTATCCCTTTGAATTTTATTCACTTGTGCTGTTATAAAGCAATTTCCATATACAGTTTGGTCTCTTTTTAGATTTTCTTTTCTATTTCACTGATCCATCTGTCCATGAGTTAGTACCATACTTTTTTAGTACCACACTTTTAATTAGAAATGTTTTATTGTATGCTTTAAAATCTGATAACAATAGCTTTGCTCTTTTTTTAAATCAGTTTTCTTAGTTCATTCTTATTTTATTATTCTTCCAAATGAATTTTAAGCAGTTCGTCTAGCTCCATGGGTAGGAGTGAGGGGTATTTTTATGGGATTGTATCACATTTTAAATTAACTTTGTGAGAACTGACATCTTTATCATGATGGGTCTTTCTGTTCTGCAACACTGGTTTAAATGTTTGTGTCTTTCCATTAGTTTAAATGTTTGTGTCTTTCAAAACAGATGGCCCCTGTTCTGTTGAAACTTAGTCTAGTAGGGTAGACAAAGATTAATCAAATAGGCTTATGAACTAATGTAAGATTTCAGTAGTGTTATGTGCTACATTTTTATTGGCAGTAATAGTAAATGTTTCAAATTGAGTTTATGTTTTAAAGCAATGTACTCATTCCATATTTATCTAATATTGATAGGAAATAAAAAATAATATTGGCCAGAATTTTTGTAAGTCGAGAGAGAGCAATGGTTGTTAAATTATAAGTGGCAGTGTTGGGCCAGGCAATGTTTTCTTTTTTCCACTGGGTTATTTTACTCTTCATGAAAGCTTTGGCTTACTGTTGGGTGTTTATTTTATTGAAAGCAGTATATAGATTTAATTCTTAGATATCCTCATTTATGTGTATTACACTCTTACTAATTTGTTAACTGAATGTATGTGGTTCTATCACACACATACTGTGAAGTTCGTGCCACACTGCATGAGTTGGAAATCAGCTGTCCTGAGAGCTGACTGAAAGGCAACATCCCAGACCATGGGATTTTTAGTTAAAGGATTTAAAAGTTACACTTAGCTGTAAAAAATTAAAATTAAGAACCTTGGTTGCCAGTTAATCCCAGTTTTTTCCCCACACCAATCCTGATTTGTGTCTACTGTTGGTATCTTAATCTTGTTAGTCTCTACCAGTCTGTGCCTTAGTAGCACTCTCTGTAAAAATGGGAGAAAGCAACTATTTTTATAACAAAGTAGATTTGCCTTGCTCATAATTCTGAGGATTAGGAATAAGAGTCTGTATTTAATTCATTAATCTTTGAGGATTTGGTGAAATGTAAAATAATGATTGCTGCACCTTAGGGGGATCAGTTCTGCAAATTTGTGTAAGATAAACTGGAGCAGAAAAAGATGAGATAAGGAGATAAATTAATAGGCTCCTAAAGTAATCCATGTAAGAGGTAATGAATACTTGAATGTGGTTAGAAGAACTAAAAGGGAGATCCCTGATACAGACAACATTGTAAGGATAAAGTCCAGAAGCCTTTGCAGATTAAATGTGGAGTGTAGGCCAGAGTAGCAACAAGTAAGGGAATGAATTTGGATCTGGTCTAGGTGATGATAGTTTGGTCTCCATAAATAGAAATAATGGATTTGGGAAGCATTTGTTTTGGTGGAGTTAGTAATGTTTGAAGCTTATTGTCAGGACTTAGAAGCCATGTAGGTATTGGGATCAATGAGATGAAGATGTATCTCAGGAGATAGTTGGGGATTAGAGAGGTAGATTTGGTAGATAATAAAGCAATAGTTATAATTGAGATCATCAATAGGGAAACTAGAGGTTAAAATCCTTGAGTTGGAGGATACCTGGGAAATGTGGGAAAAGTCAAGGATGGTAGGATCTAAGAAAAGCCTCTTAAATTTGGTAATATGGTGTTCAGTAGTGTGACAGCAGTAAAATAAAGAAATAAAGGTTTCTTCCTTCCTTTTCTTTCCATGTGTGCTTAATACATATATGATGCGCAAATATCTTTTTTTAAACCTGAGTTGAAAGTTATAATATTAATGAAACATTTCTTAAGAACAAAATGGTATTATCTCCTGAATACCATAAGGAAGCAGTATTAAAGAGTTAGGCTTTTAGTATTATTGCCATCTTTTCTACCCTGTTACCCTTTTCTCTTCCCTGCCTTTATTCCTTAACTCTCCACGAGAAAGGCATCAGCCTTTGGTCTTCAAAATAAGAACTAGTACAAAAGATTTCATGAGAAAAATGGATCCTGAAAGCATATATTATTGAGGATTTTTGCTTTTCTATACTGCTAAAAATGCCTGCATTTTAAGTTTATCATTAAGGTGAGCTTTGGAAAAAATTTTAGCCTAATGTCGTCTTCTGCTATGGTTGAAAAATTGCAGGCTTTGGCATAGCTGTCCCCAAAATATCTTAGCACACTTTTTTATTTTTTAACGTTTTGAATTTTTTTTTCTTTAAGAGAGAGACAGGCTCTCACTCTGTCACCCAGGTTGGGGTGCTGTGGTGTATTCATAGCTCACTGCAGCTTTGAACTCCTAGGCTGAAGTGGTCCTATCACCTCAACCTCCCAAATAGTTGGGACTACAGGTGTGCCACCATGCCTGGCTAAATTTTTAAAACAGTTTTGTAGAGACGGTTTCTCACTAGGTTGCCCAGGCTGGTCTCAAGCTCTTGGCCTCAGGTGACCCTCCCACCTCAGCCTCTCGAAGTGCTGGGAATGCAGACGTGAGCCACTGTGCCCAGCCAACACACGTTCTTGACACGGTGAGGACATGCTCCATACCATGTCCACTAAAAGTCTGGGTAGAAAAATCAGTTCCAAATGCTGAAGGAAATGCCTCCAGCCCACTGTATTTGTGAAGAAAATCTTGGGTATCAGGGCTGCTATTTTAATTTTGCCTTAAAACAAGCATTGCTCAGAATACATGTTGTACCAAAGAATATAGACTTGACTTTGCTTGTACATGTGACTGTTTTAAGAAAGCAGTGTCGAGGCCACAATTAGAAGCAGAACACATTTAGTTTCTTTGCCTGCAGCCCCAATGTCTTTGGTACATCTGTGTCCTAAATCATAGTTGTAGTAATGTTTGTATTCATCACACAGCATCAAAAATTAGGTAAGTATGACAGGCAAGTGCCTAGTGTGTTTTAGTGGTATTTTCAAAATGAATTCATGTCACACCCAAATGAATTGCTCTCTCAGGGAACCCAGTAGAGAAGGTTGTACCTGAGTTAACTTCCAGAGCATCCTCTGCCTATCTGCCTATTTCTGCCAGTGGCCAGAATGAATTTGTGTGGTATATTTTTCTCCTAATTTTTATAGCTTTTAATGTCTACCTAATGCTCCAAGTTTAGTCTGATTATTTAATGTGCAGAAATCATTAAAACCATTTTCTGCCTCACAAAAAACTAAATCATTGGCTGTTACTAAACAATAATTAAGATTTATACTTCATAGGTATGTAAGTATAAAATCAGCAATAAAAAGACCAGGTGCAGTGACTCACACCTGTAATCCCAGTGCTTTGGGAGACCAAGGCTGGCGAATCACTTGAGGCCAGGAGTTTGAGACCAGTCTGGCCAACATGGTAAAACCCCATCTCTACTAAAAATATAAAAATTAGCCAGGCGTGGTGATGCACACCTGTAATCTCAGCTACTAAAGAGGCTGAGGCATGAGAATCTCTTGAACCCTGGAGGCGGTGGTTGCAGTGAGCTGAGATCGCGCCACTGCACTCCAGCCTGGGTGACAGAGTGAGACTCTTTAAAAAATAAAAAAAAAATAAAATCAGCAATACAAGTTTTTGTGAGCAAGAAGAAGCAATTTTGTTCTTGCTTCTTTATGATTAACCTACCCAAGAACCTTAATTACTACAGAGATAAAACTAAACTGCTTTTTAAAAAATAAAGTAGCAGTAATAGTTATGCTAAATATGTAATATTAGCATAACTAATATTAGCTATTAGCATAACTAATATTAGCTATTAGCATAACTAATATTAGCTAGCTATTAGCATATTATTAGCATAACTAAATATTACATATTACTAAATATGCTAATAAGTAATAGTTATGCTAAAAATGTGTCAATTTAGTGTCAGCAACCTTTTTTTTAAATAGATGTATTCGGGCATTAACGATACAGATTTTTGCACCCCAGTTAGACTGTTCCTGCTTGTGTTGATATTCTATTATTGCATAACAAGTTACAGTAAACTTACCAGCTTAAAATAATACCTGTTTGTTTTCTAACAGTTCAATAGGTTAGAAGTCCTGGCATAGCATGGCCAGGTTCTGAACTCATGGTCTCACAAGGCTGAAATCAAAGTGTTGGCCAAGGCTGGGGACTCATGTGAAGCTTGGGGTCCTCTTCCAAGCTCATGTGGTTGTTGACAGAATGCAGTTCCTTGGGACTGTAGGACTGTGGCCCTTGTTTTCTTTCTAGCTCTCAGCCAAGAACCACTGACAGCTCCCAGAGGCCACGTGCAGGGCCTTGCCATGCGTGGTCTCCATAGGCGGTTCACAACATGCATGTTTGCTTCTCCCGGGCCAGCAGTTTTATCTCTTTACTTCAAGTCTCTTCTTCCAGGAAGGCCTAATTTCTTTTAAGAGATTACCTGATATATCTGCCCTCTCCAGGGTAGTTTGCCTTTTGGTTAACTCAAATGCAACTGATTTGGAGCCTCATATATCTATAAAATGCCACCAATTTTGTCACATAATAGGACCTAATAATGGGAGTGACATCCATCATATTCACAGGCCAGATACAGTCAAGAGGGATGATATGGGGCATGTACACCAGGGGCAGGAATATTGGGGCCATCTCAGAATTCTTCCTACCATGTTGCCATAAGTAAAGGGGTCTTCTCAAATATGCTCAACAGGTGCTAGCTTTTATCTTTCATCAAATTTTTGGAAAAATAATACCAAAATATTAACTGAGAAATAATTTTTCCTTAGATTTTGTGTCATCCTGAAGTTCTTTTTAGATTATATAAAACAATTTTTTTTCTTAAATTGGAAAAAATACTTTCCAAAATACTTATTGGATATTAAAATGTTCCAAAAATTATTTTAAGAAAATATATTGCCTAATACCACTGTAACTTAGCATAGTGAGTTGAGGGCTTAGCATATTTAGTAATCTAATTATATCCTCTTACAAGACAAAAATACCTTTGTTTTACAGAGTAATACAAAGGCAAGTCTGTAACTAGTTATTTTTCATTCTAAAAGATATCATAGGTTAGATTTGTTATATTAGATTGTACTGATGGCATATTAGCAAAATTAAAAATGGTTTGATTTCCTGGTCATAAATAAGCTGATTTGCACTATAATAAACAATGAATAAACAATAAGTGAACAATGATGTAGGAAGTATCCTGGTGAAAGCCATATTTACAATAAACTTGACACTTTTTGAATGCCATGTGAATATTATTTCATGAGTATAAAGGATGAGAGTGGTTTAATTAATTGTTCATCTACCAAATAACGTCCACTGCACAGAAAAAAAGACTAATTTCCTTTTTAAAAATCACTACTTATGCCCAATTTTAATAACATTTTAATTGTTTGGCTTTTGAAAATATGCAAATATTAGAACGTGACAAATAATGGTCAGCAGACCAGGTAAGAGACAGGATTTAATTTTCTAGCTCAAATTACTGGTTTTTAATTATAACCTTGACATCTGTATATTTCTGTATCTTTTCTCCACATCTCACCTGCGTTTTCTGAAAGTTCTGTTATATTCCTTATTGCTAATTATGGTTATCTACTTTGCTCTTATTTCCAGGGATGCTCTCAAACTTGTCCAGTTGAAACAAACGGGCAAGATTACCGAGTCCAGACCAACTCCAGCCCCCACAGCCACTCCCACAGCACCTTCGCCCCTACAGGCCACAGCTGGACCATCTTATCCCCGGCCTGTGATCCCACCAGTATCAACTCCTGGACAACCCAATGCAGTGGTAGTGTTCTCTAAGTGGATTTTTATTTCTTTTTCTTGTTTTTCTTTTTTTTTTTGAGACAGAGTCTTGCACTGTCACCCAGGCTGGAGTGCAATGGCACAATCTTGGCTCACTGCAGCCTCTGCCTCCCAAGTTCAAGTGATTCTCCTGCCTTAGCTTCCTGAGTAGCTGGGATTATAGGCACGCACCACCACACCCACCTAATTTTTGTATTTTTAGTAGAGACGGGGTTTCACCATGTTGGCTAGGCTGGTCTCAAACTCCTGACTTCAGGTGATCCACCCGCCTTGGCCTCCCAAAGTGCTGGGATTACAGGTGTGAATCACCGCACCTGGCCTAGATTTTTATTTTTCAGATTCAAGTGTGAGAGAGAAAATAAGAACAATTACTATGTGTTTTAAGAGTAGATTTAAAACAGATTAGTTTTATTAATCCGTTTCAATAGTAGCTAAGTGATAAGGATAAAACACTCCAAATGCTTTGTTTTACAGATTTCCTATCAGAAACCAAAATTTGTTTGTGTGTTAACTTCCAAATAAACATTAGAACTATAATTCAATTTAAAGTTACCACAAGTTCCACAACTTCAGTAACATATATATTCTCTACAATCTCATGTTTCATGTCTTAAGTGTGATACTAATAATTAGTAGCTGACACTAGCTCCCTTTTGTGGATATGTTCTACTTTTTAACTAGGGAATTGATAATCTCACTATGAAGAACTATGTAGCTAGTCATTCTTTCCTTCTCAGATGCATGCAGTATAACAGCCCCTTTTTGTTTTCAAATTACTCCATTTTGCCTCTCTGTGCCTTTCCTATTCAGGTTATTTTCTTCCTATCAGAAGAAATGTAGGATAGCCCAGTTTATTTAAAATCGAATGGGCACTTAAAAAAATAAATAGATAAATGTGTACTCCTAGTGGAGAACTATATACCATATGATATTTTAAAAGAGTTGAAAACAGTACAACTTTCATGGGAAACAGATTTTTAAATATCCATTAATGATTAATATACTGCATACTTGAATAACCTGCTCTTTAAGGACATGCAGTTGGATAAGATACTATGTATATTGAGTGTATAGTCCACTCTTTGACTATATAATGTATATGGACTATGAAATATGTATAATTCAATCATATGTCTTTTAAAAGTAGGTTATTCAAGGCTGGGTGTGGTGGCTTACACCTGTAATCCTAGCACTTTGGGAGGCTGAGGTGGGAGGATTGCCTGCACCTAGGCATTCAAAGACCAGCCTGGGCAACATAGTGAGACCTCATCTCTACAAAAAAATTTTAAAATCAGCTGGATGTGGTAGTGTGTGCCTGTAGTCCAACTACTCAGGCGGTGGAGATTGGGGAATCACTTGAGACTGGGAGGTTGAGGCTGTAGTGAGCTATGTGCACTCCAGCCTGGGTAATAGAGGAAGACCCTATCTCAAAAAAAAAAAAAAAAAGTTATTCAAATTAAGGAGGTAAACCTTACTTTCAAATTCTTATGGTATGTAGAGAGCATTTATTCTACTTGACCAAGTACTTTGCTAACATAAAATGTTTAATTTCTTAATGATATTTGTAAAAATGAAATCAGCCGCACTTTCATTTGCTTTGTATTATCTTGAAGTGATTGTAATGAAATCCCAAAATAGAGTGAAGGACAAGAAAGGAATTAGATATAATTTAAAATCTGTCATGCTTTTTTGAGAGATCCAAGGAACAGAATGGAAAAACTACAGTGAAGTTATAGGAATATTTTATTATCTCATTCATACTTTCTATTATGAATCTGTAAGAAATAAGATACTCATGTTATTTTTAAAAATTACAAATCCAAATAGAAATAATTGAATTGCCTGTATAGAAGGTCCCTAATCTTCTAATGTCCCTTGTGATTTCTTTGATCCATGAGTTGTTTATAAGTGTGAATTTAATTTCAAAATATTGGAAGACCCTTCAGTTACCTTTCATGATTTCTAGTTTAACTCCACTGTGTTTAGAGAATACACTTTGAGACACACTTCATTTTAAAACAATCTTCTCAAATTTATTGAGATTTATTTTATATTTATAACATGGCCTGTCTTGGTGGATGTTCCATGTGTACTTGAAAAGATGGTTCGACTTATAATTTTTTGACTTCACGATGGTGTAAAAGTGATACACATTCAGTAGAAAGCAGTGCAGTATTTCCTTGCAATGCTGGGCAGTAGCGGCTAGCCACAGCTCCAAGTTAGCCATGTGATCATCAGGGCAAACAACCACTGCTCTGCAGTGTACTGTGTAGCCAGGTGATTTTGCCCAACTATAGGCTAATGTAAATGTTTTGAGCACATTTATGGTAGGCTATGCTAAGGCTTACCTGTGATGTTCAGTATGTTAGGTGTATTAAATGCACTTTGACTTATGATATTTTAAACTTACGATGGGTTCATCAGAGTGTCACTTCATCATAAGTCAAAGGGCAACTATATATTAATAGTTGGTTTGTTGATTTATTGGCTGTTTTATTTCAGGTGGTTTTTTTTCTTTTTTTTTTTTTTCCCGAAACAATCTTGCTCTGTCGCCCAGGCTGGAGTGCAGTGGCGCGATCTTGGCTCAGTGCAACCTCTGTCTCCCCGGTTCAAGTGATTCTGCTGCCTCAGCCTCCTGAGTAGCTGGGATTACAGGCACGCGCCACCACACTCAGCTAATTTTTGTATTCTTAGTAGAGATGGGGTTTCACCATGTTGGCCAAGCTGGTCTTGAACTCTTGACCTCATGATCCACCTGCCTCAGCCTCCCAAAGTAATCCTGAGATTACAGGTGTGAGCCACCGTGCCCAGCCCATTTCAGTTTTATTAAGTGATATTTGTAACAAAAGCTGCTTACAGATGGTGTATGTCTATGTCTGTCTTCTCTCTCCTCTCTCTCTCTGTGTATGTATGTACACACACATATATTGCTCCTTGTGTGTGTGTGGTATGTGTGTGTGTACGTATATATACACACACAAACACACCTGTGAAGGAATTGTTCATTATTTGGTAGGTTTCTTTCTTATCATCTTAAATATAGTAACATAAGATATCCCATTCACAATTGAAACATGAATTTTATTACTTTTTTCTGTAGTTATATGCTATAAAACCAAAGCGTCTCAGATTTTTTATATTCTTCCCTTATACTAAGAATTTTAATAGTGCTTTTCTTGTGTTAATCTTTAATTAATAAGTTAGGTCATTGAGAATGAATTTCTTTTCATTTATAAAGTTGCTTGTTTTTTGTTTTATTTTTCTATTCCACTTGTGGTTTAACGGACAGGTTGCTGTCTTTTTGCAGGGCACATTCACTGAAATCCCCGCCAGCAATATTCGAAGAGTTATTGCCAAGAGATTAACTGAATCTAAAAGTACTGTACCTCATGCATATGCTACTGCTGACTGTGACCTTGGAGCTGTTTTAAAAGTTAGGCAAGATCTGGTCAAAGGTTAGTAAAATTGAATTTACTTAATACAAAACACATGCTAACTTAACTTTCATGAAATCCTTTATAAAATTATAAAATTAAAAGCTACATTGTGTAGCTTTTAATTTCAATTTCATAATGTACTTGCACTCTACTCTGGGTATATTTGTGCTAGAGGAAAAAAATTAGCAATGGTTTCCTTGAAAAAGTGAATTGGTTCCACAGTATTAAATAAATCACAGATGCCTTTATGCAGAAAAAAGCATTCTGTTCTACCTTGCTTTTATTTCCTCTTTGTCATATTTGAATAATGTACAGTTAGTTAACATTTATTTAGCAGGCAATTACTGAGTTCAATTCTCTGTTACATACTGAGCTTTAAAAATACAGGTTGAGCAACCCAAAACCAAAACTTCAAAGTGCTTCAAGATGTGAAACTTTTTGAGTGCCAACATGAAGCTCAAAGGAAGTCCTCATTGGAGCTTTTCAGATTTTGGATTTTTGGACTAGAGATGCCAAAACAGTAAATGTAATATTACAAAATCTGAATAAATTTTGAAATCTGAAACACTTCTGGTTCCAAGTATTTTGGATAAGGGATACTGAAATCTGAAGTACTATAATTTGGTTGGTTAGTTTTTTTAAAAGCAAAAGTGGGCTTAATGTTTTGGTGTGCTTTAGCATTTACATAGGTCAATTTTTTTGTAAGAACACATGAATGAGTTGTGTAGACCAAATGGTTATTTTTTGTTTTGAATATTTTTTGGTATGGTATTTAAACAAAGCAGTCAATATTTCATTAAGTTTAAAATCCAAAACTTTTAAGGATGTTTTAGATTATAAATATCTTATATATTCTTCTTTATACAAATTTTGATTTTATATTTCTTGTTCAGAATGCATTTACAGATTATTAAATTTGTAATATTTCTTCCAAAAATCAATTATAAATAAGGTTGCTGAGAGACATACAGATTTTTTAGCATGAACTGATAGTTTTATTTCTTTATTTTTGACCTATATGGCCTTTATATTATTTTCTTGTCTTATTGCACTGACTAGGACCTCTGTCTGGTATAATGAATATAGATGGTAAAAGCAGATATTTTTGCCTTGTTCTTGATTTTGGGGGAAAAGCATTCAGTCTTTTATGTTAGCTATAGGTTTTTTGTAGAATATTATTTTCAGGTTGAAAGAATTTCCATTCCTAACTTGCAGAGAGTTTTAAACATGAATAGATGTTGAATTTTCTCAAATACTTTTTGTGCATCTTTTCAGATAACTTTTCCTTTTTCTGTCTGTTAATAAGGTGAATTACATTGGTTGATTTTCAAATGTTGAATCAACTTTGTATTCCTCATATAAAATCCACTTAATGATTAACCTTCTCATATATTGTTTGATTCTGTATCCTAAAATTTTGTTTAGAATCTTTACACCTATGCCCATGAGAAATGCTAACCTGTAGTTTTCTTTTCTGGAGACATTTTTTCAGATTTGTTATCTTATCTAGTGGAATGGGTTGGAAAACATGTCCTCCTCCTTTATTTTCTGGAAGAGTTTGGATACAATTGGTATTATTTCTTTTTTAATTGTTTAGTAGAATTCACTAGTGAATTTCTTTATGGGAAGGTTTTTAACTATGAATTTTATTTTAAAAATGGGTGCAGCTTTTTTTTTCTTGAATGAATTTTGGTAGTTTGTGTCTTTCAAGAAATTTGTGTCATCTAAGTCACCAGATTTATTGGCATAAAGTTATTCACCACATTACCTTATTATACTGTCATTTTATCTGAAGTAATGTTTCTGTTTTTGACATTAGTAATTTGTGTGTTTTACTCTCTAGATCACTCTGACTAAAGGGTTATCAGTTCTGTTGATCTCGATCTCTTCAAAGAACCAGCATTTGGTTTTATTAACTTATCTAGTATTTCTGTGATACTGATCTCATTGATTTCTGTTCTTTATTTTTTTTTTCTCTTTGCTTTCAGTTTACTTTGCTCTTTTATTTCTAGTTTCTTAAGGTGAAAAGTTGGATCATTTATTTGAGACCTTTATTTTTTAATATAAGCATATAGTACTCTTGAATTATCTTTAAGCACTGCTTTAGCTGTATCCCACAAATGTTGATTTTTTTTTTTTTTCTTCTTGAGACAGGGTCTTGCTGTGTCACCCAGGCTGGAGTGCAGTGGTGCGATCTCGGTTCACTTCAACCACCGCCTCCTGGGTTCAAATGATTCTCACGCCTCAGTGCCCTGAGTAGCTAGGATTACAGGCACAAACCACCATGCCTGGCTAATTGTTTGTATTTTTACTAGAGACGGTGTTTTAGCATGTTGGCCACGCTGGTCTCAAACTCCTGGCCTCAAGTGATCCACCCACCTAGGCCTCCCAAAGTGCTGAAATTACAAGTGTGAGCCACCACGCCTGGCATTATTTTTCCTTTTATTCAATTAAAAATGTTTTCTCATTTATTTATTTTGTGATTTCTTTGATCGATGAGTTATTTGTAAGTGTGCACTTAATTTCAAAATATTTGAGAACTATTCATTTCTCTTTTATGATTTCTAGCTTAACTACATTGTGTTTAGAGAACACACTTTATATGATTTCAGTTTTCTTAAATTTGTTGATATTTATTTTATGTTTGTAGTATGGTCTGTCTTGGTATGTGTTCTTGAAAAGAATTTTTTTATTTTTGCAAAGGAATGTTCTATAAATGTCAGGCCAAGCTGGTTAATAGTGTTGTTTATGTCTTTTGAGAGCAGTGTTGATATTCCTCATTATAATTGTTTATTTGTGGTTTCTCCTTTCAGCTCTGTCGGTTTTTGCTTCATGTATCCTGAAGATCTATTATTGGCCACATACACAGTTAGGAATTTTGTTTTCTTGAACAGACCAGTTATTATGTCATGTCCTTATCTATTCCTTGTAATATTCCTTATCCTCAAGCCTTCTTTATCACATCTGTAGCCACTGCAGATTTCTTTGACTCGTGTTTCTATAGTATATCTTTTTGCATCTTTTTACTTTTTAAATGTAAATATGTTTATTTAAGTAGGTTTCTTGAAGGCAGCGTGTAGTTGGTTCTTGCTATTTTATCCAATTCTTTAGTCTCTTAAGATGTTTAGACCGCTCACATTTAATGGGATAGTTGGATTTAAATCTACCATTTTGTTCTTTCTTTGCATTCTCTTTGTCCCACCTCTTTTATTCTTCTTTCCTTATCTTTTTGGTTACTTATTTTGTTATCATTCTATTGTATTTATTCATTTTATCTTCTTTTTTCTCTTCTTACCTGCTTTGCAATGGTTTTCTTAGGGTTTACAATGTAATTCTTTAATTTATCACGGCCTGGCTTCAAATTGTATTACACCCCACTCCATGTTTAATATAAGAACCTCATAACTATATACTTGCACTTCCTCCCTCTCATATTTTGTACTGCTGTTGTCATGTTTTACTTCTATATATGATGTAAGCCCCAGAATACATGTTTAATGTTTTTTGCTTTAGCAAATAAACTCTTTTGGAGTTTTAAAATGAGGGAAAAAATGTCTTTTATATTTATCTGTACTTTTTTTCATTTCTTTGTATAGAATTAAAGTGCTGTCTGCTATTATACTTCTACCCAAAGAACTTCCTTTAATGCTTCTTATAGT
The DNA here is from genome assembly GCF_000001405.40 of Homo sapiens. Taxonomy (NCBI): domain Eukaryota; kingdom Metazoa; phylum Chordata; class Mammalia; order Primates; family Hominidae; genus Homo; species Homo sapiens. Next base: position 34,973,928 of record NC_000011.10, read on the forward strand.
ACAGATTGACTGACAATAAATTTTCTCAGTTTTTGTCTGAAAAAGTCTATTTTGTCTTTCACATTGTTCCTTTTTAAAACAATTTTTTAAAGTGTAGTTGAATATATAACATGAGTCTTACCATTTTCCGTGTACAGTTAGTTCGTTGACATTAAGTACATTTACATTGTTTGCAACCATTGCCACCATTCATCTGCAGAACGTTTTTCATCCTGCAAAATGGAAACTCTGTATACTCTTCATTCCTCTTTCCCACCACCCCTGACAATCACCATTCTTCTTTCTGTTCCTATAAATTTGATGATTCTAAGTACATCATATTAGTGGGATCATATAGTACTTGTCCTTTTGTGACTGGCTTATTCCACTTGGCATTATGTCTTCAGGGTTCATGCATGTTGCAGAATGTATAAAAATTTCCTTTTTAAGGCTGAACAGTGTTCCATTGTATGTATCTACCCTACTTTGTTAATTCATGTGTTAATGGATAAATACATTAGGTTGTTTTTACCTTTTGGCTATTGTGAATAATACTGCTGTGAACGTGGCTGTACAAATATCTCTTTGTGTCTCTGTTTTCAAATATTTTAGGTATATCCCCAGAAGTGGAATTACTGGATTATATGATAATTCTATTTTTAATTTTTTAAGGAGCTACCATACTGTTTTCCTTAGTGGCTGTGCCATTTTGCATTCCCACTAATGGCGCACCAATGGGTCAGGCATGATGGCTCATCCCTGTAATCCTATCACTTTGGGAGGCTGAGGACAGGGGTTCGAGACCTGCCTGGGAAACAGAACGAGACCCTATCTCTACAAAAAAATTGAAAAACTAGTCGGGCAGATGGCATATGCCTGTAGTCCCAGCTACTTGGGAGACTGAGGTGGGAGGATTGCTTGAGCCCAGGAGTTGGAGGTTACAGTGAGCTATAATTGCACCACTTAATTCCAGCCTGGCTCATAGAGCAAGACCTGTCTCCAAAAACAAAAATGAAGTGCACAAAGGTTGAAATTTCTCCACATTTTTGCCAATACTTGTTATTTTCTGGTTTTTGATAGTAGTCACCCTAATGGATATATCTTTATCATTTTTAAGAATTATTTTTGCTGGATATAGATTTTTCAGTTAATAGGGGTTTTGTTTCAGTTCTTTAAATAAAGATACTATTTCTTTATTTTCTGTCTTAGAATGTCTGCTGCCGTTCTTAATATTTGTTCCATTGTATATGATGTTTTCCACCTGTCTGGTTGCTTTCAAGATTTTTGCATTACCAATTTGGCTATTGTATGCCTAGATTTTTTTTTCTATTGTATTTACTGTTTGGGTTTCTCTCAGCTTCTTAGATGTATGGTTTGTTGTCTTCCTTTAATTGTGAAAAATTTCCAGTTATTTTTAATGATATCTTCTGTTCCATGTGGTTTCTCTTTGGGGCTCCAATTTTAAATGTTAGACTTTTTGAATTGCCCAAAGCTCTTAAATGCTCTATTTTTTTTGTTCATTCTTTTTTCTCTTTATGTTTCATATTGGATAATTTTTGTTTACCTAGCTTCAAGTTCACTGATTTCTTAGCTGTGTCTGCAAAGCTTAGCAAAATATATATTTTTTATCTTGGTTAGCATGGATTTTCCCCTCTGGATTTCCAATTGAATGTTTTTTTAGTTTCCATTTCTCTGCTGCTAGTCGCCATCTGTTTATGCATGTTGTACCATACTCTGCCCTCTTTACTCCTGTACTCTGACAGTGGGTATTTACTTCCTGTGTTTGTCTCTCCTCTGAGTGGATTATCACTCTTTGGCATTCAGTTCACCTGTTTGCTTTGTAACCTCCGCTCCCTAATGAGCTCAAGAAAAGTTACGATTTTGTAATTTATCCTGCTTTTTCTTTCACCCTGTCAGGATGGGAACAGCTTTCTTTTGCAACTTTCTACATCCCAGGTGAAAGCAGGACTTTTATCAGTTTATATACAGAGTTTCAAGATTTCATATAAAGACAACTTGAGAGCTTTTAAAAGTTCAAGGAACTAAATGGAAAGCTATTTTAAAGAAAGTGAGAAGTTTCTAAAAAATGAACCCTGGAAACACTCCTGTAGTTCTCAGATCATACTTGCTTAGTCATGATATAGAGGTTAATATGGGAATCACTTTCCTGTTTTCTTACTCTAATAAGGCAGAAAACAGTAATATTTCAGAGGAGATATGGATTAGTTTATTATCTTTGCATGGTCCAGTTTTGGTACACCTTGGTAATTAGGAATTTTCTTAAAAATCTTTACACCCCACATTATCTATCTTCACTCCTCTTTCTCATATAAAGTTACAATACATAACATTCTGTATGCATGCTTCACACTTTGCTTTTCTGTCTTGACAATGTGTAAATGAGAATGTTTGATATTACCTTACAAACTGTTTTCTACTCAGTAAATGTAACAGCATCTCCTTTCAATATGTTTGGAAAATCTCCATTATAAAGAGTTAAAAATAAAGGAATTCAAAGAGAAACCTACTTTACACATGTTAGATTTGAGATGCTTGTAAGCGATGCAAGTAGAAATTTCATGTGAGAAGTTGGATATACAAGTCTGAAGCCTCAGTATCTCAGAATTAGAGGTAGAATTTGGAAGAGTCATCATTATATAAATGGTATCAAAACCTTGGAATTGGAACTGGAACTTCTAGCCTGGGGAGATGCCAACATTGAGAGGAAAGGAATAAAAATGAGTGAGTGGGCAGAAAGTGGAAGAAAACCAGGAGAGTATAGTGACATAGGAGCCAGTAAAAGAATATATTTCATTCAACTCAAGAATGTTCCTAAATGTGGGAGTATGCTGAATACAGAATTTTAAGTGAGGACTGTGGACTTAGGTGGTAGGTTTGGGGGTCATTAGCTGGCAGATGGTTTTAGAAGTCTTCACTGTGAATACCTGTGGGTAAGTAGATAAAGTGAAGAGAAAGCTGAGAGAGCCATGAAAGGTAAGCAGAGTAAGTTCATGAACTGTTACATTTGAATTTGTACAAACCAAATCTTTCTATGTGGTTATCATTAAAAGCTTGTAAGCACTGTAAGTCCATTTATATTTCTATTCCTAAAGGGGTTTTAAGCAAAAATGTTTATATATTTCTGGAATTCTGAATTAGAGGAGCTTTGATACTTTGCAGCTGACAGTTATCGTGACAGTTTGACAGTATTTAGGTTTATGGTAATTCATCTAATCCCTTTCTGTAGTCTCCAGGATGCCTTTGGAATGAGCTGTTATTCACCTAAAATTCCGTGATACTTTAGTAATAGGATAGGTTTTTTGCCACATACCACTGACTAGATCTAGATCTTAGAGTCTTTTTCTATAAGCTCTTGCAAGAAAGAATCAAGTGTTGTTTACATTTTCTAACACTGTTATACCCAGTGGCAAATGCAAAGACATAAACAAATACTTTAGTTATGATCAGCTCGTAGGAAGTGGGAGGACCCCAGCTTTATCTTAAAATCATTATGTATACTGGAAAGAAATTGATTCAAATGCATTCACCATAAAACTATGGATGGAGAACCTCATTTTATTAATCACACTAGGACCTATGCCAGCATTGCTTCATCTTTGGCTTTTGTTATATCCTGTTTTGTTAAGTTAAAAAGCAGTTAAATTTTTTTTCACCTACACCCCATTAGTAAAAAGAAATTTTCGAACACTTTCCCATATGTGTATATATAACTGTTTATATATAAAGTACCTACATGTATCACTGTTCTAGTATAATCAGTATGTTATAAAGCATACAGAGAATAAGGGTATTTGAAAAGAACGAGGAAGAAAATGAATCATCTTGTAAACTTCCTGACTGCACACACCACAGAGAGATCATTTGTCTTTTTCGAGACATAGGAGTTAGTTCTTTTTTTCTGATTATGCTTGTAATGGGTCCTTCAGGTTCTTGTGTATGATATCTAAGCAATTTAAAAAATTGATAACCAAGGCCCAGAAGTAAACTTACATTCATGGTTAATATTATTGATCCAGGACCTCATATAATGCAAGTTTTTCTAATCATGGGAACCTTATTGACTAAGCAAACAAAAGCTTGTAATTTTTTATCATTGTTTGTCAGTACATTCCATAATTTACAAGTTTGAAGTTGTAATGGTCAATGTTAAAGTTATATTAGGAATACTAATTTTACTAACCTTATTTTTCTTTCAGATGACATTAAAGTATCAGTAAATGATTTTATCATCAAGGCAGCAGCTGTTACCCTTAAAGTAAGTAGCAGACTTCAAATGATTTTGTCTTCTTAAGTAGTTTCATGTCGTGGAATTTTTACAATGACAAATAGAACTCTTATTTTTAAATCACAAAAATTTTATAATTGTCTTGCTAAAAATATCCTATCGTTTGATCTCCCTCATTTTACAAATGAAGAAACTGTAAATCAAAAGGGCTCACAATGAATTAGAGCAGGATGAAAACCATTTATTCTAGGCATTAGAGATAGAGCAGTAAACAAAAGCTTACTTGATTTCTGCTGTCCCTGGGGCTTACATTCTAGTTGGAGGAGACAAACACTATTATATGTCAGATGGTGAAAGTGCTGAGGAGAAAAAGAAAGGATAAGGGGACAAAGTAACTAGGGGTGATTTTTCAAAAGGGAAGCGAGGGAAGCCCCTCTGACAAGGCGATAATTTAGATACGGCCTGAGAAAACAGAGGGAGTGAGCCACATAGGTATGTGGTAAAAGTGCATTCCACACAGAGGGACCAGCAAACACCAAGGCTGCAAGCAGAGGATCGCATTAACCAAAGATGTGGTGCTGAGGGTGGAATGTGCCTAGTATGGAGAGGTGGGAGATAAGATTTAAATAACAGTGGGAGAGCATGAAGGGGAACCCAAGTACATGAGGCCTTGTTGGACATGGTGAGGACTAGGGATTTTATTATGGGTGAGAAGGAAGCCTTTGGAGGGTTTTGAACAAATAACTAATGTGATCTGACTTATACTTCAGAAACGAAAAGGAGAGGCTGCCCTGGGTGCTGTGTAGAATGTAGCCTGTGGAGAGGCAAGGGAGGAGACGATGAGCTCCCCTGGGAGGCTTTAGAAGATCACAGTGGCTTGGACAAATGTGGTAGCAAATGGAGCTAGGGTGAAGTGGAGATTTGTGTTATGTTTCAAAAGTAGAGCCAACAGGATTTGCTGATGGATTGGATATGGGGTGTGAGAAAGAGAAACAAGCATTTTGGCCCAAGCAATGGGAGGAATGAGTTTTCCATGTACTAAGATTGGGAAAACTGGGAGGGGTATAGCTTTGGGTTAAGGAATCTAGAGTTTGGTTTTAGACATGTTACATTTGAGGAGCCTAACAGATATTCCAGTGGAGGTGGCAGGAAGGCAGGTGAACATATGAGCCTGCAGTTCAGTGGAGGTGATGTAAACCTAGCTGGCTGGAGTTGTAAATCTAGAACCCAGGCTTCCTGCCTTCCTGCCTGGCACTATTTTTCATCATGCCTCCTTTCTGTAACGAGGCTATTTTCTGGGATCACTGCTTGTTAACAGACTGTATTTAAAGTACATTTATAATTAACTTTTTATTTCTTGAAAAATACATTAATGAGGGTTCCATGGTGTAATGGTTAGCACTCTGTATTCTGAAAATTACATTAATACAGAACTTAAAAAGCATGCCCTTTCAGCAGTATCTAATTATTCATATAACTTTTCTCTTTTGATGAAATATTTTGAATTATATTAATGATTTAATTAATTGACTATTATTGTGATTGATATCATTAATTGTGAATCATTTTTGCACTCCTTAAATAAATCTCTAATGGGCATAAGCTATTCGTTAATATTTCATTGGATAATGTTTGTATCCAGAGTCATAAGTAGTGGTAATTTAAATTTTGTGCCAACATTATCAGACCTTTTTTCCCTAATCATTGGCTTCATTAAATGAATTTGGATTATTTCTTCTTTTCTTTCCTCTGTACACATTTCAATATTATAAATTTTTTTATATTTTCTAGTTTCATAGAATTCACCAGTAAAAATATCTGAACCTGCTTCTATTTTGAGGAGGGGATCTTGGCAGCTTTCCCTTTTTTTTTTTCTTTCACCATAATTACTGATCTGTTTTAATTTTCAGCTTTTTTAAAAAATCAATTTTAAAAGCTTATATTTTCCCAGAAAATCACTCATTTAATTTAGATTCCCAAACTTACTAGCCTAGAGTCATTTTGTTTCTTATAATTATTTTAACATCCTCAGTGCCTGGGGTTATTCTGACCTCTATCTCACTTCTATTGCATATTTATATATTCTTAGCTTGTATTGTTTTGTTATGTATTTTTTCCTTCATTTCCTTAGATTCATTTTGGTCAGAACTTTAATGTGTAATTCATTTTAATTTTTTTTAATAAGGTTTAAGATAGTTTCTTTTTTTTTTTTTTGAGCAGCAGCAAGATTTATTGTGAAGAGCAAAAGAACAAAGCTTCCACAGCATGGAAGGGGACCCGAGTGGATTGCCCTAAGATAATAGATTTTTAATGCAACTTTGACCGTGTCCCATAAGTCTTCTTTACATTTTGTAATTAAATTTATTTGCCATATATTCTTCATTCATGAGGGTTTTGTTTAGTTTCTCTTTTACTTTAGTGTTGTCTATGAAGAATTTCAAATCTTCTGAGGGTTTGGGACTTTATTCTTTTAACATAATGATATTGTTGAATGAGTGAAGGAACTCAGCCTTGAAAGATGGAAAAATGGAAGAGCAATTGAAAAGCAATGTGAAGGTAGCCTTGCAATGGAAATGAGCGTAGCATGACAGTGAGCCAAGTGGAAAATTCATCTCAGGGGAGTGGTCACAAGTAAAATGGGATAGATAGAGTGGAATCAAATTGTATATTGCCATGCTTAAATGACATACCAGGAGGCCTGGATCTTTTTCTTTAGAAAACAAAGAATTTTTGAGAACAGAAATTTGTTTTCAGTTTCTGTTTTTCAGCATCATTTTCACCTGTGATACAGGGCAAGATTATTAATAGGCAGGGTTTCCAGGCATTTCATCATTTGATGAAATCTTTTTTTTTATTATTATTATACTTTAAGTTTTAGGGTACATGTGCACAATGTGCAGGTTAGTTACATATGTATACATGTGCCGTGTTGGTGTGCTGCACCCAGTAACAAGTCATTTAACATTAGGTATATCTCCAAATGCTGTCCTTCCCCCCTCCCCCAACCCCACAACAGGCCCGGGTGTGTGATGTTCCCTTTCCCTGTGTCCATGTGTTCCCATTGTTCAATTCCCACCTATGAGTGACAACATGCGGTGTTTGGTTTTTTGTCCTTGAGGTAGTTTGCCGAGAATGATGGTTTCCAGCTTCATCCATGTCCCTACAAAGGACATGAACTCATCATTTTTTATGGCTGCATAGTATTCCATGGTGTATATGTGCCACATTTTCTTAATCCAGTCTATCATTGTTGGACATTTGGGTTGGTTCCAAGTCTTTGCTATTGTGAATAGTGCCACAATAAACATATGTGTGCATGTGTCTTTATAGCAGCATGATTTATAATCTTTTGGGTATATACCCAGTAAAGGGATTGCTGGGTCAAATGGTATTTCTAGTTCTAGATCCCTGAGGAATCGCCACACTGACTTCCACAATGGTTGAACTAGTTTACAGTCCCACCAGCAGTGTAAAAGTGTTCCTATTTCTCCACATCCTCTCCAGCACCTGTTGTTTCCTGACTTTTTAATGATTGCCATTCTAACTGGTGTGAGATGGTATCTCAGTGTGGTTTTGATTTGCATTTCTTTGATGACTAGTGATGATGAGCATTTTTTCATGTGTCTTTTGGCTGCATAAATGTCTTCTTTTGAGAAGTGTCTGTTCATATCCCTCGCCCACTTGTTGATAGGGTTGTTTGTTTTTTTCTTGTAAATTTGTTTGAGTTCATTGTAGATTCTGGATATTAGCCCTTTGTCAGATGAGTAGATTGCAAAAATGTTTTCCCATTCTGTAGGTTGCCTGTTCACTCTGATGGTAGTTTCTTTTGCTGTGCAGAAGCTCTTTAGTTTAATGAGATCCCATTTGTCAATTTTGGCTTTTGTTGCCATTGCTTTTGGTGTTTTAGACATGAAGTCCTTGCACATGCCTGTGTTCTGAATGGTATTGCCTAGGTTTTCTTCTAGGGTTTTTATGGTTTTAGGTCTAACATTTAAGTCTTTAATCCATCTTGAATTAATTTTTGTATAAGGTGTAAGGAAGAGTTCCAGTTTCAGCTTTCTACATATGGCTAGCCAGTTTTCCCAGCACCATTTATTAAATAGGGAATCGTTTCCCCATTTCTTGTTTTTGTCAGGTTTGTCAAAGATCAGATGGTTGTAGATATGCCGCATTATTAAAATTGACACCCTAACATTATAACTAAAAGAACTAGAGAAGCAAGAGCAAACAAATTCAAAAGCTAGCAGAAGGCAAGAAATAACTAAGATCAGAGCAGAACTGAAGGGAATAGAGACACAAAAAAACCTTCAAAAAATCCATGAATCCGGGAGCTGGTTTTTTTGAAAAGATCAACAAAATTGATAGACTGCTAGCAAGACTAATAAAGAAGAAAAGAGAGAAGAATCAAATAGACGCAATAAAAAATGATAAAGGCGATATCACCACCGATCCCACAGAAATGCAAACTACCGTCAGAGAATACTATAAACACCTCTACGTAAATAAACCAGAAAATCTAGAAGAAATGGATAAATTCCTCGACACATACACCCTCCCAAGACTAAACCAGGAAGAACTTGAATCTCTGAATAAACCAATAACAGGCTCTGAAATTGAGGCAATAATTAATAGCTTACCAACTAAAAAAAGTCCAGGACCAGATGGATTCACAGCCGAATTCTACCAGAGGTACAAGGAGGAGCTGTTACCATTCCTTCTGAAACTATTCCAATCAATAGAAAAAGAGGGAATCCTCCCTAACTCATTTTATGAGGCCAGCATCATCCTGATACCAAAGCCGGGCAGAGACACAACAAAAAAAGAGAATTTTAGACCAATATCCCTGATGAACATCGATGCAAACATCCTCAATAACATACTGGCAAACCAAATCCAGCAGCACATCAAAAAGCTTATCCACCACGACGAAGTTGGCTTCATCCCTGGGATGCAAGGGTGGTTCAACATACGAAAATCAATAAACTTAATCCCGCATGTAAACAGAACCAAAGACAAAAACCACATGGTTATCTCAGTAGATGCAGAAAAGGCCTTTGACAAAATTCAACAACACTTCATGCTAAAAACTCTCAATAAATTAGGTATTGATGGGACGTATCTCAAAATAATAAGACCTATTTTTGACAAACCCACAGCTGATATCATACTGAATAGGCAAAAACTGGAAGCATTGCCTTTGAAAACTGGCACAAGGCAGAGATGCTCTCTCTCACCACTCCTATTCAACATAGTGTTGGAAGTTCTGGCGAGGGCAATCAGGCAGGAGAAAGAAATAAAGGGTATTCAATTAGGAAAAGAAGAAGTCAAATTGTCCCTGTTTGCAGATGACATGATTGTATATCTAGAAAACCCCATTGTCTCAGCCCAAAATCTCCTTAAGCTGATAGGCAACTTCAGCAAAGTCTCAGAATACACAATCAATGTGCAAAAATCACAATCATTCTTATACACCAATAACAGACAAACAGAGAGCCAAATCATGAGTGAACTCCCATTCACAATTGCTTCAAAGAGAATAAAATACCTAGGAATCCAACTTACAAGGGAGGTGAAGGACTTCTTCAAGGAGAACTACAAACCACTGCTCGATGAAATAAAAGAGAATACAAACAAATGGAAGAACATTCCATGGTCATGGGTAGGAAGAATCGATATTGTGAAAATGGCTATACTGCCCAAGGTAATTTATAGATTCAATGCCATCCCCATCAAGCTACCAATGAGTTTCTTCAAAGAATTGGAAAAAACTATTTTAAAGTTCATATGGAACCAAAAAAGAACCCGCATTGCCAAGTCAATCCTAAGCCAAAAGAACAAAGCTGGAGGCATCACGCTACCTGACTTCAAACTATAGTACAAGGCTACAGTAACCAAAACAGCATGGTACTGGTACCAAAACAGAGATATAGACCAATGGAACAGATATCTCTTTTAAATAGGGATGTCATGTATTGAGGGCCTGCTGATATATATCCCAGAGCTGGGCTAGAAAGTAAGGAATAATGTGATCTAATATTATTACCTGTTTCCACTCTCCTCCTCCCCTCAAGATCATGTTCGTTATCATATGAGGTAGGAAGTACAACAGACATTAAATAACTTCTTGCAATCAGGAAAGAAAGCCCTTTTTCCCCACCATGATATAAAGGATCAAAACATGTACCTCATCAGAATTTCTTCAAACTTGCTTCAAAAAGGTGGTATGTTTAATTATTCTTGGCAAACATAAAAGATAATTGACACAGAACTCCATACCATTTTTTCAAACGAAATTTTTATTTATTTTCTCTTATCTAGCTATGTTCACTTTGGAAAATGCACAATGATTTTATTTTTCTGTAACCGCCTTGGTCTAAAGCTGCTTTTTTAGTAACATTTTTCTTTTTCTATTTCTAGCAAATGCCAGATGTTAATGTAAGCTGGGATGGAGAGGGCCCAAAGCAACTGCCATTTATTGACATTTCAGTGGCTGTGGCAACAGATAAAGGCTTACTTACTCCAATCATAAAAGATGCTGCTGCTAAAGGTATCCAGGAAATTGCTGACTCTGTAAAGGTATGTCTTAAGAAAGAGTGTGCTTTCAAAATGTTAGCATATACTTTTGGATAATTACTTTCTGATAAAGTTGTGACGTAATCTAGTCAGACTGTGATTTTTGTGTGTGTGAAGGGGAGAGTTATTTCATCAAGTGATTGTCACATATATATAGGTTTTTAAAGTTTTTATCCAAGTATGACCCATTGTAAGAAAATTTAATATTCAAAAATTAAGAGATAATATATAAACAAATTAGGGAACAACTTCATGCTAAAGACAAGCTTTATTTTCCAAAGTCCAGAATTCAGCCATAAAGATGCTATATCAGGTAGGTTTTAAAGTTGAAGTTAAGCTGAAACTGTATTTCTATGGACCTCAATATTAATAACATTTTATTCTTAAAGTGTATTTACTTCTTCTCTAAAATTGAGACCATTAAAAGAACTTAGCGGCCAGGCGCGGTGTCTCACGCCTGTAATGCCAGCGCTTTGGGAGGCCGAGGTGGGTGGATCCCGAGGTCAGGAGATTGAGACCAACCTGGCCAACGTGGTGTAACCCCATCTCTACTAAAAATACGAAAATTAGCTGAGTGTGGTGGCGCGTGCCTGTAATTCCAGCTACTCGGGAGGCTGAGGAACAAGAATCACTTGAACCCAGGAGGCAGAGGTTGCAGTGAGCCGAGATTGCGCCACCGTACTCCAGCCTGGCAACAGAATGAGACTCCATCTCAAAAAAGAAATGGACGTAATGTTCCAGAGGCAAAGTTACTTTATTTTTTCAGGATTTCTTGAAAAGCAGTTTTTGTAACTCCAATGTGTAGGAATCTTATTTCACCAAAAAATAGTACATCGAATAGGCAAGAACACAGGCAGTAGGGCAGCTTTGACAGCCTCAGTAATTTCCAAGGGTATTTTTTGACAGAAGTATCACAAGTCTTAAAGTGATTGCATCGAAAATTTCTGATTCATTTGGGTAAGTGATTATCTTTCCATTTGCCAAGGACCTGTTGTATGTATAGTGGTAGAACAATTTGTATATTTATAAGGGAGATATGAGGTAGAACGTAAGACTTCTTTGGGGAGCCGACAGTACATAAATGTGTAGACCTTCTTGCTCAAAAGAAATAAGTGCAAGTTAATCTGGTTTTAAAAGCATACCCATAAATACTGAGTTTACTTGGAATTTTAGAGGTAGATATAATTAAAGGTGAACCTACTAGAATCAATATTTTTAGGTCTTTCTTCCCTCCTCTTTGAAAAGATTTGCAGAAAGTGTTTGATCGATAAAAATGCAATTGTTAATTGAAAAATGAGGCTGCACATGGTGGCTCATGCCCGTAATCCCAACACTTTGGGAGGCTGAGGCAGGCAGATCACTTGAGGTCAGGAATTTGAGACCAGCCTGGCCAACATGGCGAAACCCCATTTCTACTAAAAATACAAAAATTAGCTGGGCATGGTGGCACACACCTATTATCTGAACTATTCGCGTGACGGAGGCATGAGAATTGCTTGAACCTGGGAGGCAGAGGTTGCAGTGAGCTGAGATTGTGCCATTTGCACTGCAGCCTGGATGACAGAGCAAGACACTGTATCTCAAAAAAAAAAAAAAAAAAAGAAAGGTAGCGTTTATTTGGTCAGTTCAAAAGTCAAAGTAATAGAGATTGGTTTACTGAGATATAGTATGTTCCTTGTGTTTATCAAGGGTTTTCAGCGACAATGAGAATATTTGTGTCTGTGTTTTTGTGAAGGTTAAATGAGATTAAGTGTTGAAACAACCTGTAAAATATAAAGTACTATTATAATGTTATGGAACTTTATTGTAGAGCTAGAATTTCCTTATTTTTATATACATTAAATTTTAAAAATTAACCATTATAGGAAGATTTCCTTGATTCTGAGCAATTTACCAAATTTACTGCTATAATACATAAGTCGTAAGTAGTTATGTTAGCTTTCTCTATTCCTTGCATCCTGAAGACTCTAAGTTTAAGAGGTAAGAACGCAGTCTCACCAGCCTCTCAGTTGGGCCTCACAGCAATGGGAAGGGCAGTCATACCACTTTGGAGTGTAGTGGTCTCTGGCGGGCCTTGGGCATTTCCTGTAACCCCCAACAGGGACTCAGGGTTTGCTGAGCTATGGCTGCCCGTTAGCTTCTCATTCTACCTGCTTCTCTTTCCCACCCTGCTCTCTTCACTCTTGTTCTTACGCTATGCCAGGCACTGGGCTAAGTGCTTCATTTAATCCTATTAACCCAGTACAATTGGAACCTTAACTTCTCCATGAAATTGAGGAGATTCAGTTTTAGCAACTTTGATAAATTTGCCCAAGGCAATACAGCTAGAAAGCAGTGGCAATGAGGACTAGTTAACCCAGGCAGTTTGATTCTAGAGCCACTGCTTAATGAGCTTTCTATTATACCACCTCTCTCCTTGCTTTTACTGTTTACCTTTCTTTTTTCCTGTCTAATCATTCACTTCTTTACCTCCCCTTTGTCTTTTTCTCCCGCAAAGTTACCAGAAAGGAGGGTTTGGTTTGGTCCTCAAGTAGTACTTTCTTGTATGAAGTACTCTTGCTGGGCAGGTCTGTCATGCCAGGCCAGTGTGTCACATGGTACAGAGCATAACAACCTGATGAATATAATCACCTTTGGTTGTACTCGGAAAAAATAAGGGGACATTGAAGCACACTGAGGCCTCTCATGAGAAACAGGCACCTTGCATGGCCTATTTAACATAATAGTTCTGTAGTTTACAGGAGAGAGAGAGAGCAAAAGAGAAAGAAAGTTTATGTGTGTGTGTGTATGTGTAAGAGAGAGAGATCTGAGCTCCTGCAAAATTAGTTTTTTGTTGAAGTGGTTTATCTTGTAAGCATGATTATCTTAAAAACTTAAATGTTGGATTGTTTAAACGGTGGCTTAAAAACTAAATATTTTAGATAGGCTCTATAGAGATATGTTCATTTAGCTGCTGTGGATGAATAGGCATTAAAAATAAGTATGCACCAAGTAGAAACCCTGAGTGTGTGTGTGTGTGTGTGTATGTGTGTGTGTGTTCTTCACGTCCAATATAGATTTTGACTCAATTCCAAGTTAAGCAAGATTATATTGAATTCAGCTTTACTGTGCAAAAAACAGCATCTGCCTGAGTGTCCACGTATAGTAGTGAGTCACCTTTGGTAATAAATGCATTTTCTGTCCTGTGCTTTAATGTGGTTATATTTTACCGCATCCCCCAAAAAGGGTAGACAGTAAATGTTACATTTATGGAATAGTAGTGCCATTTTATACAGTTTGAGTCTCGTCAGTATTTCTACATCAAGCTTTGTACTATGGCTTATTTAAAAAGTAGAATGTTTATGTATTTAAACAGATAAAATTTAGAATGATTTTAATTCCAGGGTAAAATCTGCTCCGACCAGAGAGAAAAAACTAATTCATATATGAATATAGTATTTGTAATCCTCTTGTTTAAAGACATGCAAGTTCTAGAAGTATTTGTACTGCTTAATGTTTTAACAACTCTAACAATAATAGCAGCGGGCATACTTTGTACCAGTTTTTGCTGTAAGCCTTTTATATATATTAATCCTCTTTAAAACCACCCTATCAAGTACAAGATAATAATTTGATATGGTTGATGAAGCAACTGATGGGAAAAAAGAGAGGTTAAATAATTTGCCCCAAATCTTATTAAGTGATGTAGCCAGCATCTGAACCCAATCAGACTGTAGACTAGAGCCTCCTCCCAACCACTCAGCTTTGCTGCTTCCCACATACTAGTTACATAACTACTGTATGACTATAGAGGTCAGGTTATCAGCCTTCTAGAATCAGTAATGTTTTCTGTCAAAAAAAAAAAAAAAAGAAACTTGAGAAGCAGCTCCTGGATTTTCAGAAATTAACAAGAAGAATAGCTAAGGACTCAACAGTTATACCAAATGCACCATAATTAGTTGATTCACCAGGTAGAAGAAAAGGAGTACAATCATTGGTTTTCTGTGTCTGTAAGACCAATCTTTTGGTTTGGAATTTGAAATATTGGAGTTCTCTCTTATCCAAGGTTTCACTTTGTGTGGTTTCAGTTACCCGTGGTCAACCACAGTTGAAAATAGATGAGTACTGTACAAGCTATTTTGAGAGAGACCACATTCACATGATTTTTAGAGTTATAATTGTTCTGTTTTATTATTAGTTATTGTTAATCTCTTACCATGCTTAATTTTTAAATTAAACTTTATCATAATTGTGTATGAGTAGGAAAAAATAGTACAGTCATGCATCACAGCAGGGATACATTCTGAGAAATGCATGGTTAGGCGATTTTGTCATTGTGTGAACACCATAGAGTGTGCTTACACAAACCTAGATGGGATAGCCTGCTACACGCCTAGGCTTTGTATGGTACAAACCTGCAGTACAGCCTATTACTGTACTGAATAGTATAAGGAAATAGTGATACAATGGTACGTATTTGTGTGATAGGAATTTTTCAGCTCCATTTTAATCTTATGGGACCACTGTCATATATTTATGTCTTTGTCTTAAGTGTCCTTATGCGGCACATGACTGCATGTATAGAGTTCAGTACTATCTGCCATTTCAGGCACCTACTGTGGGTCTTTGAAGTATCCCCTGCAGATAAGGGGGGACTACTGTATGCAACTGGGAGAAAAAAAGGGTTAAGAAAGAAGAGACCTGAGTCAAACGGGAGAGTACTCTGCCAAAGAAGCAGTGAAGATTCCCCGAGGAATGTGAGGTTGTGGTCTTAGCAAGTAGGCAGTGGATAAGAGAACCTGCAGCAAAGAAACCAAGGCTCTCTACCTGGTGAGGCAGGAGTAGTCTTTTTGAAAAGACTGTGGGATCATGGACAGGTTGAGCTCTGGATTCTCACTAAGAGACATACTATCCAGTACACACTTCCCTCTGATCGTCACTTGGCTGGCTTTTTTTCATCATTGGTTTCTCAGTTCAGTTGCTAATTTCTTAGGCCTTCTGCAGCTTCTGTAGCTGAAATAGTTTCCTAACACTCTTTATCTCATTACCCTGTTTTATTGTCTTCATATGGTTTATTAGTCTTTGAAATTACCTTGTTTATTTATTTGTTCACCCTTCTGTGTTCCCTACTGTCTGATGTTCACTGTCCATTGCCATTTATCTAATTCTAGAAGAGTGCTTGGGATACAGTAGTTGCTTGGTGAATTTATTTTAAAACAAATTTCAGTAAAACTTGTTTCATTGAAATTAATTTTTCAAGAGTTTGTGGCTCTCTGCAGATTCATCCATGAACCCCAAGTTAAGAATATCTGTACTACGCATTTACTTCTTGACCCTCTGTAATCCCAAGGATGCCACTGTGGGGGCTGTAGGCATACCCCAGCCAAGTTCAAGTTGGTATTCCTTGAATAAAGTAATGTAGTGACACACCTTGGATCCTGTGTTATTCTTAATTCTTCATTACTTATAACAGTATTAAAAGGCAGAGGCATAGTTTACCTTATAAGTACCCAGTAAATTTTTTTAATGAATAGCAAGGCATTCGATGTATTGTAGAAATATTTAGTGGTCATTTTTTATTCTTTCAGCTGGATGCTTCAGGTAACATGTACTTTGATTTTGAGTCCACATTGCCAGGAGATCCCAGTGATGATTACAAATTTATAAAACCAACGATCCTTCTCAGATTCCATACCTATTTCAGACTTACTAGAGTTCACTGACAGGAATTTCCTGTTGATGTATTTAGGATCTACAGAGTTTTTGTTTTTAGTATGTGTGCGTGCAATCTACTTATTAAAGTGAGTTTTTTTCATTTGTGGTAATTGTGTGGTAGTTCATCAGGATATGTTGAGATCATCTGCCTTTAAAAAATGCCTTTTAAAGTTCATATATGTGTCTTTTCAAATCATGTGAACAATTACATTGCTTAAGGGAGGAAAAATGCTTTTATAGATTATTCTCTCTCCCGTTATTCCAAGAACTGTATAAGTCAAAATTCATCTCATTTTTTACCTTGAATCCAAATAGTTTTATAAATAACCACATCCAAATAGCATACACCTGTAATTGTTTCTGTTGGCAGTACGTTACAGTAATGTGTTTTTAGATTTTTGATATTTTTAAAGACTTTCAATTTTAAAAAATTAAATCATCTATGAATTAAAGTTAGTTATCAACTGTGATTGTAATAGTGCCTATGTTGCCTATGTAATACAAAATATTAAGTAAATTCCACATTTATTTTATCTACCCAAATGACAGTGACCTCATTTTTCTGTACCCTTCCTCTTAAGTTAATTCGTTATTAATTTTTTATATATGATGACTCAACCTCTGTTCCCTTGCTTTTAAGCACTGAAAAATAAAAATTAACAGAAATGTGGTTAATTCCAAGTACAAGTGAGAGGAAAATTTAACTAATATGTCATCTGTCTTGTCTTCTGTAAGATTTTTAGAAATCGCTGTGGTCAAGAGTGATATGAATCAAGTACATCCTTATATTCCTTGTGGCAGTGTAAATTGGACTAGCTCATTCAGGAAATGATTTAGCTATAGGATCAAGAACCAAAAGAAGTCTATTCTCTAGGGCACTATAATTCCACTTCTGAAAATTTACCTGAAATAATTCAGAAGAAACCGTGAACCAAATTATAACACTGGGAAATAACCAAGTAAATTAGGCAGGTGCAGTCTTTAGGAACAAACATTAAAAAATCATTTCTGAAGGCTGACAACACAGAAGATACATATAATATTGAACAATTAAATATAAAATTTATTTTTTATAACCATTGTGTGGGGTTGAGATTGTGGATAAAGATGAAGCAAACTCTGAAAGATAAAAACGGAATGTTGGTTGTGGGATTGTGGGTATACTACTTTGGTTGCCATTGGATAATTTATTTAAAACACACAGATTGGCCAGGCATGGTGGCTCATACCTGTAATCCCACCACTTTGGGAGGCCGAGGTGGGTGGATCACTTGAGTTCAGGAGTTGGAGACCAGCCTGACCAACATGGTGAAACCCCATCTCTACTAAAAATATAAAAAATTAGCTGGGCGTGGCGGTGGGTGCCTGAAATCTCAGCTACTCAGGACGCTGAGGCAAGAGAATTGCTTGAACCTGGGAGATGGAGGTTGCAATAGGCCATAATCACACCACTGCACTCCAGCCAGGGCAACAGAGTGAGACTTCTCAAAAAAAAAAAAAAAAAAAAAACTAAAAAACACTAGATTGACCAGAATGGATTCTTGTATTTTTTTTCTTACCATAAAGTTTTATAGGCAAAATAGAAAATTTCATTTTGCATATAGGAAACTCTAAAGCATTTTGCATAATAATTGATGGTACACAGGGTAATTCCCACATTTGAAAAATTGTTAAAGGAAGTGATTTTTCTAGAGTTTTGATTAACAGCTTTAGTTTCTTGAATTATCTGTGCTCTTGTTTGTTCTTATAATTAGAGAAAATTATTTTTATATAGGTAACAAAATCAAATCAAGGCATATCAGAGATGAGAGTATATGATGTACAAATATTTCAAGTGACAAGATCAACTGTATAACATTTTGTTGGTTGTCCTATTCTGTTTGTATTTTTCTCAGGCTCTATCAAAGAAAGCAAGAGATGGAAAATTGTTGCCTGAAGAATACCAAGGAGGATCTTTTAGGTAAAATTTAAACTCTTAATTATCCATAGCATCAAACAGATAGATGTAAGACTTATAAAGTCCCTGTCAGCCTTTCATTTATCTGAAATATTTTTTAAAATTTAAGCTAAAAATACTTTATTTAGACAATAGAATATCTGAAAAAATTCTTCAGACTAGTCAGGCTTTCATATTAAAGCTAGTAGGAACCTATTAGTGTTGAACTAAACGTTCGTTGGACATTGACTAACATGGAATGATAAATATTATGTATTCTTTAGTATCTGACCCACCCCCAATATTAATGTCTGTAATATTATATTGCTATGTGAAACAACCACTTATTTATTATTGCAGCATATAATATTCTATTGTATAAATATACCAGAATTCATTTTACTGTTGGTGGGCATTTGCGTTGCTTCCAGTTCGGGGCTATTACAAATTATGGTGCTATGAACATTCTTATTAGTGTCTTATAGTGAATGTATGTACATTTTTTGTTGTATAGACCTAAAAGTAGAATTCCTAAGTTAGAAGCTTTAGCAGCTACTACCAAACAATTTTCCAAATGGTTATACAAATTTACACCTCCACCAACGGTCCTGAGAATTCCCATTGCTCCACATTCTTGCCACTATTTAATAATGTTAGGTTTTAAATTTTAACAATTCTTGGGGTGTGTAGTGGTACTCTTTGTAGGAAAATGCAAATTAGTGATGTTGAGTACTTTTCACTCATCAGCCGTTTGGGTATCTGGTAATTCATGAGATAAAGTACCCACTGCAATCTGGTGTCCATTTAAAAAAATGATGTATAGTTCTTATTTCTGGATATACAGACCTTTATAGGATATATATTGTTTCAAATAGCTTTCACACTCTGTGACTTGCCTTTGGGACTCTCTCGGTGATTTTTTTAAATGAACGGAAGTTCTGAGTTTTAATGAATTCCTATTTATCAGTATTTTTCTTTGTAGTTGGTACTGTTCATTTTCTGTTAGGAATTTTTGCCTATCTCAGAGTCATGAAGTTACTCTTCTGTGTTATCTTCTAAAAGCATTTACGTTACTTTTCACATGTAGATCACAATTCAACTGAAATTGGATTTTGTATATAATGTGAAGTTTCAAGTGCTCTTTTTTCCCCATATGGATACTAAATTTACACAGCATCATGTATTGAATATTGATTTCTCCTTTTTCATAGCATTGAAAAGGTGATTATATATGTGTTGGTCTAGTTCTGTGCTATTTTTTTTCCACTGGCCTGTTTGTCTATCCTTTGTTTACTACCACCAAGCTATAACTCTTGATAGCTGGTAATGAAGTCTTCCAATTTTGTTCACCCTCAAGATTGTCTTCTGGCTTTTCGTATTTCCAAATAAATTGTAAAATTGATTTGCCATTTTTCACACACACACCCCTTGCTGGTTTCTTGATTGGGATTGCATTAAGTCTTTTGATGATTTGAGAATTGACATCCTTACAGTATTGAGTATTCTAACCTGTGAATATGGTAGAAACCATTGTGTATTCAGTTATTTGATTTCTTTCAGTTATGTTTTATAATTTTCTGTGTAGAGGTCTTGTATATGTTTCATTAGATTTATTCTTTGGTATTTGTTTTTTGATACTATTATAAATGGTATTGTTTTAAATTTTTATTTTCTAATTATAGCAACTTGTATGTAGAGTCATGTGCCACTTTATGATGGGGATATGAGAAATGCATTGTTAGGCAGTTTCATCATGCAAACATCATAGAGTGTACTTACGCAAATCATGCAAACATCATAGAGTGTACTTACACAAACCTAAATGGTACATGCTGCTACACACCTTAGCTGTATGATATAGCCAGTTGCTCCTAGACTGCAAACCTATACAGCATGTTACTCTACTGAATACCGTAAGCAGTTGTGACACAATGATGAGTATTTGGGTATCTAAACATATCTAAGCATTTTTAAAATGTACAGTAAAAATGTAAAAAGTAAAACATGGTACACCTGTTTAGGGCACTTACCGTGAATGGAGCTTGCAAGACTAGAAGTTGCTCTGGAAGAATCAGTGAATGAGTGAATGCTTAGGACATCACTATACACTACTGTAGACTTTATAAACACTGCACACTTAGGCTACACTAAATTTATTTTTAAAATAAAGTAATTGCAATATGATGTTATGACAGCTATGATGCCACTAGGCAGCAGAAATTCCTGAGCTCCATTATAATCTTATAAGACCACCGTTGTATATGTGATCCTTCGTTATGTGGGACATGACTCGATATAAAATGGATTGTTATATTGACCTTTTATCTGATGACTTAACTAAATTTACTTATTAATTTTACTAGTTATCTATAGTCTCATTTTTCCTGTGTACACAATTAATTTATTTGTAAATACTAAATGTTTCCTTTTTTCATTACTCATATATTTTTTTCTTGCCTTACTACACTGCCTAGTAAAATATATAAAATATGTGCTTCACGGAAAGGGGACTTTGATTAAGGACATGCCTCCTTCAGAGCTTTTTCTTTTCCCCCTAGTATTTCCAACTTGGGGATGTTTGGCATCGACGAATTTACTGCAGTGATTAACCCTCCTCAGGCCTGCATTTTGGCGGTTGGGAGGTTCCGACCTGTGCTGAAGCTCACTGAGGATGAAGAGGGAAATGCCAAACTGCAGCAGCGCCAGCTCATAACAGTCACAATGTCAAGTGACAGTCGAGTGGTTGATGACGAACTGGCAACCAGGTTTCTTAAAAGTTTTAAAGCAAACCTAGAGAATCCTATCCGACTTGCCTAGTCCTCAAAGATAAGAAGTTGGTGTTCAGCTTAGTTGATTCAGTAGTTGTTACCAAGAAACATATGTTATAGGAAAACAACTTGGTATTTAAGTATGAAGTGGATGAAATGTTTATTTATTTAAGGTGAAAGCATTTGACCCAGGGTGTCTTCATCTTCAATTTGGGTTTAATGTTATAGAAATAAATGATGATAAACTCTAACTAATAAAGGAAAGAGAATATTTGGTTACTCAGATCCATTTTTAACCTCTGGTGCTGTATAAAGGGAATATTAAACTAGATGTAAATCAAAGTATATGTTTGGCTCATTTGAGCATTTTGGAATATTTGAGAATGTATGATACATGTAAAATTAAAAAAACTATTAGAACTGTACCATAATTATGTTGAAGGTAGAAGTGATCTTCAAAGAGATGGCCATTAACTTAGCAGTGGGACCTCACTTTTACAAGCACTGCTCTAGATATACTTGAAGAATTTAATAGGTACAGAAGTTTATTCTGGATAATAAATAAATAAGGATCACACTGTATTAGGGGTTATGGCAACATTATTGAATTTTTTATGTACATAAAGCCATATGTTTAGGGTGGTTTCTATCTGTCTTGTTTTTCACTTATATAACACTGTGAACTTCTAAAGCAAGAGGATAAAAGAAGCATGAATGAAAAGAATGACATTTCAAAAAAATGGTTCAATGAAAAACTATAGCTAAAATATGTAAACCTTTCTAGGTAAACCGCTTGCCTTCATCTTGAGTCGGAATATATTTAAATAAATTGTGTTATCTCTTGCCAAACATTTTGTTAGTGTTTATTTAAAAACAAAATGTTGTTTCTTAATGCATTTAAATCAGTTTTGTATTGTGCAGTAAAATGTGAGAAAATATAAACATTTCTATTGTATTTTAAATGTTAAAACACAAAAGTTCAATAAACCTTGAAGTTGATTAGTAGTTTTTCTAGAACACCTTTAAAAGGGCTCTACAGGAGAAAAGACGGAATTTAAAATTAGTATGACATTAGGAAAGTAACTGATAGGAAATGTAAAACTTTGGAAAGAGAATAGAAGACTTATGAAGCCAAACAGATGAGAACTATCCTTTTTATTTCACTAATATGAAATTTTCACTAATTATTATAAAGTTTAGAAGAGTTTGTTTCTCTCTTTTGGCAGCTCTGCTATAACTGTCAAGATAACTATATTTAAGTTGGATGGTAATGAATGGTAATTTAATTAACTTGTCACAAAAAGGTTTATGTTAGTGTCAGCTGACATGAATCAATAGAAGAAAGGCTAATATAGTACAAGTTGTATGGTATGACATGATGAATTATAAACCCTAACAGAAGAGCCTTCTAAAATAATTAGCACCCTGGTGTATTAATTGTTAAGAAAATGCTTAATCCAACTATCCAACTCAGTTTAACAAGCCATTTAAAAAAAATAGTCTTCAAAACTTTTGTCATATTAACAGTTACACTGAAAATTATAACCAAAGGCTATTTTCAAAATAATTTTTATGTTACATTATTTCCAAGGTCAGTTTTAATCGAAATTATTATTATTATTACTACTTTTTCTTGAGATGGGGTCTTGCTCTGTGGCCCAGGCTGTAGTGCAGTGCTGGGATCACAGATCACTGCAACCTCGACCTCCTAGGCTCAAGTGATCCTCCTCCCTCAGCCTCCCGAGTAGCTAAGGACTAAAGGCATGCACCATCATGCCTGGCTAATTTTTCTATTTTTTTTTTTTAGAGACAGGGTCTTGCCATGTTGCTCAGGCTGGTCCCAAACTCCTGGGCTCAAGTAGTCGACCCACCTTGGCCTCGCAAAGTGCTGGGATTACACAGGCATGAGCTACTGTGCTAGGCCGTTGTTTTTGTTGTGGTTGTTGTTTGTTTGTTCATTTTAATTTTTATATCTGAGGAACAGAACATGATGAGGCAGCCATAAATAAGCCTGACTCAGAGTTCTGCTTTTCATGAACTGACGTACATAAGCAGTAGTGCATCTGTTTCCCTATAGGTGAAATGGGCATTAATATTTACTCAGCCTGCCTTAGAGAGTTGAACTGTACAAGGGAAATCGCTGTATAAATTTAAGATGTTTTAATTCATGGACCTCACAACCAGGCTTTTCATATAATCACCTGCCTCTCATGGTTTGACTTCTCAGCTTCTGGTACAAATGCTTGTTCATTCTGACCAAAAATATTGTCTCTGGTATTTCTATACTGATGAGGTGGTTTAGATTAAGGAAGTTTTCATTTCTAAAAAGAATTTTGTTGTAGTTTGAGATCAAAGAATAACACTGAGAAAGGAGTATGGTATACTTGGTTTGAACTGTGTGCTACACTACCAGGCCCCTTCCACATTATACTACTAATTTATTTAAAATAGATAGGTATCACACTGAGAGGATATAAAAAAAATTTCTGCCTCTTCATTTTTGTTTCTTGTTTGAACAGAAAAAATGACCAAAATATTGGGAGTACTTCTAAGGAAAAGGCAACACACATTCCAGTTAACACTTGGATGTGAAAATATCAATGAATATTAGAATTTATAAGTCAAACTGGCTCTGCTCGCTGATTGCAATTTTTAGTTACATTCACTATTTTGTGCTAAATTTAAGTCATTGGTATACGACTGGCCAGAGTCCTTGGTTTTAAACATTACTGAGAACTTTATATATACTCTTAATGGGTATTTTATATAATGTCGAATGAAACTTTTATTTTTAGATTTTTAAAAAATATTTTGCACTTTGGACTTAATTTTACACTAAATTGTATCAGCCAGCCTAAGGGCATTATGCTAAATGTAAATCTAGTTCTTGGTTAAGCTTTTATTGAAAGATAGGTGGTGCTGTAAGTTAATATATTGTAGTGAAAGTGTGGGAGAAAAGTTAAATTGGCACTTAAATCTTAGTTTTCAAGGAAAACGTGTCCCGCACATACTGCATTATGATGGACTTTGTCTCAGGTGAAGTGAAGAAGTGAAAGAATCAAGTGTATGGCCGGTAAGAATTAACCATTAATTTAAATGGGATGCTATTAGTGGGAAACTTTTACTGATTTTTGAAGAAGGAAGTAACAGTGCAGATTTACTTTTATCAGTCTGGCCATAATGTGCAAGTCAGTAGGTCAAAACAGGGAGAGGATAGCAGTCATCAGAAAAGAACTGGAAGATTTTGCCATAATGAAAGTATAAGTTGATTAGGATCTGCACTAGGTCAGTGTCTTTAAAGAAGGAGGAAATGGGTAAAAGTTGGCATGTTACCATGCTATGAGGTGTCTTATGAATATATGGGGTAGATGTATTCAGTCAGATAATGCAGGAACAGTGATAGAATTTCCCATCCAAAACACTAGTCCTCCATGGCTCACGTTCACCAATATGAAAACGAATAAGATTCCAGTAAGTTATGTACAGCAAATAGTGTATTTCAGTAGACATTTAAACTTTTTGTGAATGGAAAAGGCAATAGTCTTTCTATAAAATCCTTTTACATAGTTTTATATTACAAAAATGTGTGTGTGTCTCCATTGGTTTCAGGAGATGGGGGGCAAACAGGGTTGGAGGGAGGATATGGTTTGTCTAGACTTGTAATATTGAAACACCATTTAATTGAAACTGTAAGGTTTACAGATGTATTTTGAAAAATTATTAGCCTCTCAATAGCAGTCTTTTGTTTCTTTGATCATATAAATTCTATTTTCACATTTTATCCGTATCTTTGCTTTTTTTGCAACAAGTCCAAGCAGCTTTCTTCCTGGGAAAATGAATGTTTTGTGAATCTCTCAGTTTAACCTCTGTTGTATGATACATACCATTAAGGAAAATGGGTTTTCATTAAAAGTTGAGAAACTTTTAGCAAAATCATTAATTAGTCATGATTTGCTTTTTTTAATACCTAAAATGTATATTTTAAAATTTCTTAGTTTATGAAATTCTGTTACTCCTATTACTAAAAGATGAGCCTTTTAAATATAAGACTCTTGTGATCAAGTGGAATAACATTGATTATATCACTTTATAAAGCATAAAGTATTATGGAAATGTAAGATGTTAAATTTAAATTTTTAATCTCATAAATTGCACTTAGTAGCTCATCAGTCTGATGGGGAATGGTATATCAGGAACTTATAAGATGGTACTTAATACCATAACTTAAGTTATTCTTCCCAGTGGAACTACTGGTGATTGTATGTAACTTTGTTTCCCAAGTTTGCATACTCTTAAAATCAAGACTTTTAAGGCTAGTTTCAGCTTTAGAAGTTACTGCGCTCTTGGCAAAACCTTATTTCTGTGCCTCAGTATTCTTACCTATAAAATGAGGAAGCAAGGGGGAAAATTAATCACTGTACTGGTTGCTTATCTTTTTTAATTTCTTCAGTTATAGGCAGGAAGTGTATGCTACTTATCAATCATCATGGATGATGTAACATTTACCTCCCGCATAGAATCTCAGAGATTACACATACAAATTCAGAGATTATGTAAATTGGCCAAAGCTCAAAAGTACGACAACTGGGATTTGAACCAAGATCTGTGCAGCACCAAAGCTCAAGCTCACTGCATTGCAATATACACCTTCTAAGTTGTGCTGCTGCGGCTGAAAGTTCTGTATGCAAAGAGTATTTTCCACCTATGGTAACTGAAGTTCCTGAGTTCCTGTTCTTCTGTATTAAAGCTAATGTGTTTACGACCTAACCACTTTTAAAATTAATTCATATTTTCTCTGTAGTGGCTCTCTTTGTGCCTTTCTAGTGTGCAGAAAGTACTGAGGGATTTTTTGTTGTTGTTTTTTCATTATGGACAGCTCTTAACCTGAAGTAACTAATGTTAAGTGTCATCACTTGTACCTCTAAGTAGAAAAATAGAAGCTGATGGGGCTTAGTGCCTCTAGGTATAAAAAAAAAATGACCTAGAAGCTGCTACTTTCAATAAATAGGTTGATTCTTGTCCCAGTTAAGACCAAAAGTGGTTACCTTAGTTTTCATTTCTGAGGCCTCAGGCTTCTATATTGATTACTGTATCAGTCATGGTCTAATCAGTTAGGGTTCAGTAGTTTATGGTGGAGAAGTTCATTGGGTCGCCAGGTTGGGTCTGTTCATAGTTGTCCAGTGAAGGGGAAGCAACCATCCAGGGCACACGTAAGCCTCAGCTGGCACGCTGAGGGTCAGGGTACCACTGCGGCCTGGGGTATGTGGTGTCTGTTGAGAAGACCATGCAAAGGTATTGATAAGGCCAAGCTGGGGCTGCTATTCTGGGCAAAAGGCAGGGTCAAAGCACCACTGGATGTCCACCATTTTGAAGCTGAGAAACAGTAAATTAATAACTAGCACAAAGCCCAACCTGAGGCTGGGAAATAAAATGTAATCTTATAATTGGGAATAATACCAGATGATAGGATAGCTTAGTAAGGTATAGCAGTCTATATTAGAACTGTTTTGTGGGTAGAAATCTATCTAAGCTAGAGATATTATTTTGAAAATACTGTCACTGTTTTAAGTAAATTACCTGATTTGCTGGGTGAGACATTTACTAAAATGTAAAGCAAAAGTAAAATGTTGAAATATATTATGCATTCAACAGTTGTGAATATCTGCTGTGCATAGCTAACAGCCTTTACCCTCAATCAATTTAAACTATAGGTAAGTGATATTTACATGCCCAAACATAATTCAGCAGATTCTATAATCAAAGCATGTGCATAGTTGAGAAGATGGCTTCATTGACTAGGTGACATTTGAACCAGCTTTTTGCATTACTGAGTATAACCCACCCCACTTTTTGTCTGGTTTCCCTAATTTCAGTAATCAAATATTTAACACCCAAATACATAAATTCATCAGTTCATTTTTCCAGGACCTTGGCTCAATACCTGTGTGTACATATCACAACAATAACTAATTCCCACAAAGCCTAGAAACTTTTAGTTGGAAGGAAAATTACTCATATGGCATGTTAGTTGTACAGAGAAAGTTTTATTTACACCCTACTATTCGCAAAGAAAATATTCTTTGTTAAGTCATCCGTCCTAAAGAAAGATGAGGAATAGACACTTACCGTTGTCTAATCAAAATGTATTTTAATTCTTCAACTCTCCTACCTCTTCCCTGGCCCCTGCTTTTTTTGAAGGTGTCCTGTGTGTGCAAATGCATCTTTACATATCTTGACGCTCATTGTTTTGTTCTCAAGGGGATCATCTGTTAAATTTATTTTCAGAGAATCATAAGCATCTTTGGACTCTCGAGCTAACTTGCAAAACTATAGGAGTGAGTGAAAATCAAATATTATTTTTAACATTCAGTATTTTTAATGCTAAAAATCAAGTTAATATGCTCTTTATTAGTTCAAAATGAATGTTTGAGGTGTGGAAGCCAACTTACTCACCTGCTAGTACCATGTAGCTCTTCATGAATTGCATAGCTCCCACAGTTAAGTAGATTTTATTACTTACTAAATACCTTATGTTATTTGTGGGCATTTCATTTTGACACCAAATTGTCTATTATTGGTAAATTAATAAGAAAGTATTCTGCCTTAACCTGTTAAATACTAGTTAGAATGTCATGATGAGTTTCAGGTATTCTCTTTATACTTTCAATGTTTGATACAACTTTAGAAGAATGAGAATGGACACTTTTGTCGATGTACCTATTTTGAGAGCAAACGCTAATCCCGCCTTTAAAAATGTGCAATTTTAGCCATTTTTACTGGAGAATGCTGGAAGTCATTATTCCTATGAACTGAGAATACGGGAGACTATGACTTGGACAAAATGGAAACTCAAGATTCAGTGGGGTACAGGGCTTTTGTGTGTTTGTTTTTGTTTTCTCATTTCGCAAATGAGTCCTTGCAACTTTGGAAAATATTGAGAGTAATAGCTTCATAAAGTTTTTTTTTTTTTTTTTTTTTTTTGAGATGGAGTCTCCCTCTGTTGCCCAGGCTGGAGTGCAGTGGCACGATCTCGGCTCACTGCAACCTCCGTTTTCCAGCTTAAGCGATTCTTCTGCCTCAGCCTCCCGAGTAGCTGGTACTACAGGCATGTGCCAATTTTTATTTTTAGTAGAAACAGGGTTTCACCATATTGACCAGGCTGGTCTCAAACTCCTTACCTCGTGATCTGCCCACCTTGGCCTCCCAAAGTGCTGGGATTACAGGCGTGAGCCACCGCGCCCAGGCTTTTTAAATTTTTTTCTTTTTTTTTTTTTTTTTTTGAGACAGGGTCTCTCTCTGTTGCCTAGGCTGGAGTGCAGTGACGTGATCATAGCTCCACTGCAGCCTCCAACTCCTGGGCTTAGGAGATTCTCCCACCTCAGCCTCCTGATAGCTGGGACTACAAGTGCGTACCATCACGCCTGGCAAGTTTTTAAAATTTTTTGTAGAGATGAGGTCTTGCTATGTTGCCCAGGCTGGTCTCGAACTCCTGACCTCAAGCAATCCTCCTGCCTTGGCCTCCCAAAGTGCTGGGATTACAGGCATGAGCCACCATGACCAGCTGTAAAAAGTCTTAAAAATGGAAAAACTGGTAAACATAGATTAATAAGTATTTTACTTGGGAAATTATAGGACTTTTTCTAGGTAGATATTTTTATAGTTATCTAATTACTTGGTTCTCATTAAGTAGATAAAGACCTTTTCTTCAAATTATACATATGTTGACCATGAAAATATAATATACTAATAGCTAACTTACTGTATTCCAGACATTGTTTTGAATACTTTATACATATTATTAACTCATTAAGTCTTCACCAAAACCCAATAAGATAGGTTGTGTTATCAGTATTTCACAGAAAGGTATTAGTATTATCAATATTTCACAGAAGGTTCATTAAGTAACTTAAATCTGAGATTACACAGCTAATAAGTAGCAGTGACCGTATTTCAAGGCAGGCAGCCTGGCCCCAGAGCCTCACAAGTCTCCTTTCTAAAAACATCTATTTCTTAGGAAATTTTGGAGTTCAGCACATTAAAAAGATTTTTATAAGTTGGGTAATAGTTCTCTTTTGATATAGTGAACACAGCCTGTTGAACTTCTCGGGAGCATCTTCTACAGGGGTTGCACATGCCATAGAAATAAGTCTGTGGCTAAAACCACAGTAATTTGACATTTGGTTTCCTTTAGATTTTAATATTAATGTATAGTGTATTCCTTCAACCTTCTGATTCATGAAGGGGTGGTAGCTGGTGTGAATTAATTAAGAGTCAAACAGGAAAATAATACCTCAGTGTTCTTATTTAAAGGGCATGTTATTGGGTGATGACCAAAGAGTTCTTTAGTTTTGGTCTGGGATGACAAGTTACAGAGGAGGAAAAGTAATAAATTTTTAAAAAGAAAATGTAATAAATGTCTTTGTGGTTGAAAGTACATGTTCTTTCTATGCAGTTAGCAGAGCTTGGGAGGTAGAAGTACCTCCTTGGTTTTCCCCAGATTATTTTGCAAGTTTAAAGTATGTCACTTGTTCCCTCATCCTTACTATCACCAACACAATTATTTTGTACAGTATTAACACAAGGCTCACACCTTGTAAGGATGACAGGCTGATTGGATTTCTCACTCTTCCCTGCTCCAACCCTTTCAATGAGTCAGTCTGACCCCCACCAAATGCATTCCTTTTTTAAGGGACTGGGGGAATCTTGCTGGAGTGTTCTGTGCCTAGCTGTCAAAAACATACTCGATTAAGTAAAAGCACTATTTGTCAAGACTAGCCCATAACATTATGCTTTTTTGTAAAATGTTCTGAGGCCAGTTTCCCTTTTATGGTGGGTGGATATGTGAACATTTTATGCTCGTAGCATTGACTCATTTCTTATTTGGAGACCAGATAAGTCATCTTGTATATTTATTTTTTATGATACGGTAAATAAGACATTCAAAAGCAACTAACCTGAAGCCTCCTTTTAAAAATATCCCCCAGTTGTGTTTTTTCATAAATGAAAAATTGCACTCCCTTTAATTGGGGAATGACTTTTTACCTAAGGTTTCTACCTTATGATACTCAGATAACAGATATTTGGTGGACTTTTGCTTTTTTCAAGAGAAAAATTATTAAGGAGAACATGCAGGGGGGAATAAGACTAACAACATGGAAAATACTCATGGTATGTTTCATGAAAAATATAGAACATAAATTTCGTGGAAGTATGTAGAAAAATTGAATAGGTACGTGCACAGGAGCTCAAGAATAATATGGTCAGTCAGTCATCTGATTTGATGAGAGACAGAGCTGGCCATTTAAAAAGAAAATGTAAAGTTTCACTGCATTTTTTTTTCCTGCACTGAAGGACACTCCTTAGTGGTTAGTGTTGATTATTAGCATTGGCCTAAAGACCAAACAACACCATTGAGTAACAGGATTTTTCAAGATTCCATGTATTTGTCTGGTATTTGGGTTTTATTTCACTTTACAAAGATTTTCTTTTTTGTTGTTCTTGTTGTTTTATTATACTTTAAGTTCTGGGATACACGTGCAGAACGTTCAGGTTTGTTACATATGTATACACTTGCCATGTTGGTTTGCCACACCCATCAACCTGTCATCTACATTAGGTATTTCTCCTAATGCTATCCCTCCCCTAGCCCCCCACCCCCCAACAGGCCCTGGTGTGTGATGTTCCCCTCCCTGCGTTCATGTGTTCTCATTGTTCAACTCCCACTTATGAGTGAGAACATGCCGTATTTGGTTTTCTGTTCCTGTGTTAGTTTGCTGAGAATGCTGGTTTCCAGCTTCATCCAAGTCCCTGCAAAGGACATGAACTCATCCTTTTTTGTGGCTGCAAAGTATTCCATGGTGTATATGTGCCACATTTTCTTTATCCAGTCTATTATTGATGGGCATTTGGGTTGGTTCCAAGTCTACAAAGATGTTTTCAAATACAAGTATTGATGATTTTAAAGTAATTGTACGCAAAGCTGTGATGTTCATGTGTACTCCATTTGGTGGAAGGCAGAAATGCTCACTGATCTTTTGTTATGTACCCCCAAACATGTACGAGATCCGACCAGGAAGCAAGAGAAACTGCTTTTGTTCCCTGCTTCTCCCCCATTGCCCCCAAGGAGCCATCTGATGTGGACTCATTAAAAGGGAGAATATTTATTAGGCTACAGTGCCAAGTCTGCCATCTGTTATTATTGCTCTCAGCTTTTCCACATGGCAGGTGTGGTCACATCAGCCTCAAGCCATTCCTACTTGAGAGGCAGCCTTCTTAGGAAGGGCTGGATTAGGCAGATTAAATTATCTGCCTTAGATCTTAGGGAATATTTCTTTTCCTTTTGATTTAATTGTACAAAGGTTTCTATTCTTTGTTTTCTTCTTGACAGGAGAATGGTAAACTAAAGGGCTGAGATAAGGGTGTGAACCTATGGGATAGAAGCCCAGGAGGCTGTTTAACCTGTTTCTGTTCTTGGCTTAAGCAGTGGTGTGCCGGTAAATGTTTAACAACCAGCTCTTTGGAGAAGAAATGCATATGGATATATAACCAATTATAAGTCTGTTATAAATTTTACTGATTTACAAGGAGTAAAATATATGACTTACTAAGAACTATAGAACATACAATACTCCTTATTGTATGTTATCACGGAATGCTTTACCTGATTTTATAGAACGCTTTTATTTGCAGCCAAACTATGATTGCAGTTGATGAATAAGTAGGTTACTGACCTAAATGTTGGTTGACATTTTCCTTTACACAAAAGAATAAGATAAAAGTTAAAACAACAGTGACACAGAAGTTTACATGTTTGTCCATGAAGAGAGTACTTTCTCTACTGAATCAGATAATTTTCAAATACTGGAATATTTTCTCAAATTTTGTGCTATTCATAGTGTACCAACTACAAACATGACATTTTTAAGTTTAATCTGCATTATTTACATTTTTCTCTATTATTTTCTTAAGTCTAGAGACAATCCACAATAAATCAATCCCTGATTTGTAGTATTTGCTGATTTCGGTGGTATAAATGCTCTGATTTCAAGCTTCCAATGTAATGTTACTGAGTGTAGAATTAGGAAGAGATGCATAGCTCTCCATTATTACATAGTATTTCCACCATTAAAGATACAATAGAGGTAAAAACCTCAAGAACATAGATAATAGTAAATGAATAGGAAGTGGTGAGCTTTGGGTATTTATTATCTTTGCTTCCGGTATAATTTATTGAATCCTAAGCTTATATAATTTAGCTTTCAGTAATAGCTGTGTTTAATAATCAGCTTGCAAAGTTCTTAAAAGTTTAACAATCAGCTCTCACGAGCTGGTACAAGCCAGCTTCAGCACACCACTGGCCTTAGGCATTCCAATGGCAGTGGTGGTGGGGGTCGGGGGAGACATACGCCAATATGCCATGCTTTTTAAAATATGAAACCCAGGGCCCCACTCCTGGAAATGAGTCTAAGGTGAGACATCAGGGTTTGAGGTCGGAGCTCCATTAACAACCTCTCTTTGCCAGGTCTTGTTCTCTGCTCATCTCCTTTGGGACCTCATGGGGTAGAGGGTGGAATGGGGGTTTGAGGTGGGAAAGAGTTCATGTGCTCTAGATCCTGGGGCTCAGCCACTTTTTTCACTACTGCTAACTTGGGGTACTGGCCCAGCCCCCTTGACATCCTGCGGATATCTTGCTATCCTACGGAAGTGGAAATCAACCCAATTTCTCAGTTCCTAACCAGAAATTAGACTCCTAGAGACCACTGAGAAAGCAGAACTGAATATGAAAGGCTGTGGGCTAGTTAGTTGGGACCATGAAATCTTTTGCTGGGGCTGGCTGCTGACTCATGGGGGAACTTTTCTGTCTCAGTAGCCCACATGCTCAAATATCGTTGTTAAGTAAAGCTTAAGGGCAAAGCGTGATGGCCTCTTGTGTTGGTGTAAAGCTTACTCAACAAATGAAAAAGAATGGTGGCCTCCATCATTTTTTGAAATTAGTCCATGAAAACCTGAACTTAGAACACATGAAATAAGGAATGATGTTATTTTTTAAAAGGGCTTTTGCTTTACAAAAAGACTCACAGTTACTTAGAAAATGCCCCTCAGGTAATTTTAAATGGTGCTTACAAAATCCTCATTTATATATATATATATATTTGCAGAAATACATATATTACATTAAACCTATATTCATTGAACAGTACCCAGAGTCTCTTGCATTATCACTGTAAAACGGAAATGTGACCCTAATTGAGGGGACCTGAGGAGATTGCATACTAGCATAAGGGTATGTTCAGGACAGTAAACACAAGAACTTCTTTTCTTCTCTTTTGCTAGGCTGAGAGTCAACTGTGGGCATCGTGACTGAGCAAGTAATTTTGAAACTATTTGGTAGTCTCTGTAACACCTCCTGGACAATAAAGTCACTAATGAAAATTGAGGTGTCTTAGCTTGAGTGAAAGTGTTAAAGCTTTTTCAAATGCCTGAAAAAACCATCATAAAACATACATGTGAGGGAAAAGACAGTGGGTTGTCATGGAACAGGAAAGCCATGAAATCAGATAAAGCAAAAGTACCATGCACTTAGAAAATTCTGTTATTATTTATTAGTTAAATTGGCCCAGAATTCCTTGTGGAAAAATTAAAAGGCTAATGTCCACAGGAAAAGAAAAAAAAAAAGAATTGTTCAGGGATTATTAGGAATCCAGTTGTTTTCCTGAGCAGTTTCCAAATCCTGCAGATACAAACAATAATAAGAGATGATTAGGGCATTACTTGAGCTTTTTTTTTTTTTTTAAAGAGTAAAGACATTTCCACTTGAAAGCTTCCATAAGTTCTGTGAATGCATGATTTCAAAGACAGAATGTCTAACTTGATTTCACAGACTCTTCTTGGCCATGGTAAACAGGTTAGAAACAGGCATGTGATTTGTTTTATTAATTTGCCACTGCCTCATATCTGCGCTTAGACAATTTGTACCTTTGTATTTTAGTGTCTCCAACTTGGAAATGTGTAATATTCTGTACAGTAACGTTTTCATGGAATACAGGGAACCAGTGGATCTTTTGACTTCTTGTACCATGTCTCCCACCTCTTCCCCTACTCCCTGTACTTGACATGTCACATGTGGGGTCTGCTGACCTGTGTCTCTGCCTCTGCACTTACTGTTGTCCCATCTCCAACTGCCATTTACACTTCCCTGTACCATCTGGATCCCTCATTTTATGACCCTAGGCAAAGAGATCCTGTTCCAGGAAGGCTTCTAGGATGATTAGTACCCTTTCACCTTCTGCAGACCAGAATATGCAACAAGCACAGCGATCTTGGAGAGCTTGGAGAAGGTCATGGCTCTAAGTGTCCTGGAGAGGTAGACTGGCTTCAGGAATTGGTGATAAGCCTGAACTAGTTTTCCGGTGCTCTGTGTGCTATTGCTGGGGCCAAGAAGCAATATTAGATGAAGCAAACGGGGACACAGAATCTTACTTTTAGGAAAGTAGCATGAATTTTGTCCTTTCATACATGATACAATGCTATATTACGATTCCTCGCTGTAGCTCGGAATTGGTAGCTCCTCTACTTTAAGGTAAAGCTAAAATTTCTTAGCCCGAGGAACAAAATCCTTCATGATCTGGCCATGACTCTTTAATTATGTCCTTTGCTGTATCCACATCAACCCATCCATTGTTTGGACTCCCCCAAAATGACAGCTACTTGTATTTTAAGGTTCAGGTCAAGCATAACCTCTTCTTGGCTCTTGGATGGGTTTTGTTTGAGACAGAGTCTCCCTCTGTTGCCCAGACTGGAGTGCATGGCATGATCTTGGCTCGGTGCAACCTCCACCTCCCGGGGGGTTCAAGCGATTCTCCTGCCTCAGCCTCCCGAGTAGCTGAGACTGCAGGCGTACGCCAACATAACTGGCTAATTTTTTGGTATTTTTAGTAGAGATGGGTTTTCACCATGTTAGCCAGGCTGGTCTTGAACTCCTGACCTCAGGCAATCCGCCCACCTCAGCCTCCCAAAGTGCTGGGATTACAGGCATGAGCTACTGTGCCCAGCCTTGGATGAGTTTTTCTGGATTCTTCCAGGTTGGGTCAAGCAATCCTCTGCATACCTGTAATGCCTTGCTCACCTTTCTTGGAGTACTTCCTGCTTTGTTTAATCATGACCTTAATTATCACATTCACCATATTGTGAGCTTCCTGAGAACAGATCATGTTTCTTCTTCTCAGTATCTCCAGCACCCAGTACAGTGCCCAGCACGTGGTAATTCCTGAACTAGTGTTTGAATGGTATCGGCGGCATTTTTTGGAAATTAAAGTTAATGAGTAAGAAGGGCAGGGTAAGAGATTATCTTGGAGCTCCACTCCTAAAAGAAATCAGAATGTTAACACTGTTGAGCAACCCGTGGAGGAGAAGAGAGAAAGGCAATAAAATCTGCCCCCTGCCTGGGATTGCTGAATGCTGGCAATCTGACCACTTGTGACTCAGGTATTCCTAGGAATATAAAGCACTGTGAAAAAGAAAATTAAAGGGCAAGCGGACACCCAGGAAGAACTTGAATAAAAAATTACCATTAAACAAACACTAAGGGAGAGTTGTCTTCAGTAAGAAATAATGCCCTAAGAATGTGTTAGGGTTCAGAACAAATAAATCTAGATAAAGAAGAGATTGTATTAAAAGCAACCTGTTTTGTGAAGCTGAAATTAGGAAGGATGATTCATAGCCCTCCTGGGTTACAAAGTACAGTAGGTAAATCAATGGCATAGCAGCAAAGAATCTATAGCTTATTATGTGCTTTTGGCTCAAGGGAAAGAAAGGTATTTCATTCAGTACTATAGCATGTGCCCCACAAAGCCGTTTGGTTGATAGAATCAAAGAAAGTATCAATATATGGAATTCCTTCCAAGTTGCAATGGTACATATCAGTGACCTCTAGCAGCCTGAAGCTGTGTCCACCAGCACTGTTATGTTGGTTTCCCCCAAAAGGTCATGGTAACTTGCGGATATGCTGGTTTGCATAAGGACAGCTGCAACTAGAGTTATATGATATTGTTCCCAGCTCAGCCCCACCCTGTGCCAAGAGGATTAATGATGGAAAAAACCCGAAGGGTAAAGAACTAACTGACACTTGGTCATGTTTCTATGAAACTATGGTAAATAAGCATTGAAAAGAGGCACCATTTGGGACCCTGGGCCCTAGAGCAATGAGCTCAGAATCTAGATAGTATTCCAAGTTCTCATCACTACCTGTCTGTAGTAGACTAACAAGAAACTTTCCTGATTTTCTTGTTTGGTTTCGGGGTTCTTATGGGCCCATTTAAAAAAAATAAGCATGTTGTCCTTTCCTCTGCAAAGATCTCACTCAGCTAGGGTCAGACTCAGTGAAAGGCACTTGCTTCTGCAGAGGCTCATGCTGGAGATCAGAAAAGGGCAGTCAGGACCTCCAAGTGGCTGTGTTTTGAAGACCCTTGAAGTCAGTTTATTTCTCCAAACTAGTCAAGAGTCACTCTCTGGGGCTGGGCATGGTGGCTCACACCTGTAATCCCAGCACTTTGGGAGCCAAGGTGGGAGTTCGAGACCAGCCTAGGCAACATAGCGAGACTCTGCCTCAACCAAAAATAAATAAATAGATAATTAATAAATAAGTCACTCTCTGCCCGGCCTCTTGTATTCCCTCCTCCAGTATCATTTGACATACTTCCTACCCCAAACTGCCTCAATACACTGACAGGTCAGTAGGTGGCCAAGAGATCCCAAACTGATCGTTTTATCTTGGAATGACTCTGGGCTTTACTGTCAGAATCCTCCTAATTTACACCATTGCCATAAAAGTGCTTGTGATTTTCCT
The DNA here is from genome assembly GCF_000001405.40 of Homo sapiens. Classification (NCBI taxonomy): domain Eukaryota; kingdom Metazoa; phylum Chordata; class Mammalia; order Primates; family Hominidae; genus Homo; species Homo sapiens. The sequence continues at coordinate 35,010,968 of NC_000011.10, forward strand.
ATGGTAATGTTGTGCACTAAATAATGCCAAGGGAATCCAACAGGTAACAGTGAGGACACTCTGGCCCCTGTCCTGATTTTCGGTATATACCATTGATTTGCAGATTAACTGTGATTCTCACACTCCCTCTGTAACCTTCTAAGCATGCAAACGTCAAGGAAGCTTAGTCCTCAGATCTGCCCATTATCCTGCATATGGTGGTTAAAAATACAAACCCCAGCCTTAAAACTACTGGATAATGGGTCAAGTTACTCAACCTCTCTCTATTTCTTCTTTTCTCATCTAAAATATAGGGGTAATAATTATAATACCTACCTCATATGGTTATTGAAGGATTAAATGAGTTAATACACATCAAGTGCTTAAGTGTTAGATAATATTATTTTTTAAGCCCCTTTGGCGTGCACACATTCTCAGATTGTCAACTTTGCAGTTGCAAAGCGTAGAACATATACCTGAAAGAGACATGACTGATTGGCTAACCAGCTTCTTATTTCTAAAGAGGAGAAAACTAAAGTCCAGAGAAAAGACGGGTCTTTTCCCAAAATTAAATGGCTATTAGGGATAGTGTGTGAGCTAGCATGCAGGCTCCCTGCCATCTGAGGCAACTCTTCAGCATTCCATGGTTATTGGGCAATGAGAAGATCAGATTTCTATAGAGTAAATAACCATTTCCTAGATTAAATAATCTTACTCGCTTAGGTTTTTGGGATGGGCATATAGTGGAGGACTTCATAGCTTAAGAATATACTGCCAATTCTGAGTGTGTGAATTCAGAAAGAAATATAAGGATTTCAGAGGGCAAAATGATAAGTAGCCGATGGCCAGAGTTCCCACACTTCGAGGGCCATGGACTTTTGCTTTGGCAGTAACAGATGGCTGGATAGTGACCAAGGGATGCTGCCTAGGAAGAGCAGGTAATGGGTTTGCCAGCTGGAGCTGAAAACATTAAAAGACCAGTGGTTCGAGTGGGCACGGTGGCTCACACCTATAGTCCCAGCTGAGGCAAGTGGATCGCTTGAGCCCAGGAGTTCAAGATCAGCTTGGGCAACATGGCAAAAACCTGTCTCTACAAAAAAAAAAAAAAAAAAAAAAAGATTAGCCGGGCATGGTGGTGAATGCCTGTAGTCCCCACTACTCAGGAGGCTGAGGTGAGAGAGTTGTTTGAACCTGAGAGGTCAAAAGTGCAGTGAGCCTAAATGGCATCACTGCACTCCATCCTGGGCAACAGAGTGAGAACTTGTCTCAAAAAAAAATAAATAAAAATTAAAAAAAAATTAGAATTAAAAAGCACCCTTTAGAATAAGACAGTCTATAGGCCCAAGTTTTCAGTGGAGCCAGGGTCATGCTATCAACCTTGCTGGTTAGGTAGTCTCCTAGAGCCAGGGACACGGAGGCACCCCCAGGAAGGAGAGTTCCTTTCTAAAGCTGCAGAGCACATTAATTCCTTTATTTTTGCTGCATTGAGATAGTCTCTTCATTCCCCTGAAGGTTGACCATACCTCTTACTGTTTATCTCTGAGTTCTCAGGCAGTTCTCTGGCAGTTCTCAGGAACTGGCAGATTTTGTTGGTTAATGTATTGTTTAGACCTCACCATGCCCCAGCAGGTTGAGAAGTAAATGGTGTTTTCTTCTAGGATTAGACCTGCTGACATTTTGAAATAGCCTAGGGCTGCTGGAAAGAGGTACCCAGGAGTTCTCTCCCTTTGAGGACAGGACCACTACCAGTTGACCTGTCTCCCCCTTTCCTTCAAACTAGGATGTTGGCAGCAGAAGATGAGGCTTGGTATGAAAATGAACAGCTTGTGAAAGCGTAACAGGATGTGAGTAAATTAAAGAATTGGGGTTTTTCCCTTTGGTTTTTTAGGTAGAGGGGAGCCTACCTACAATGAAAAGTTAAATAAAAAGTACCCACATGAATGAAGGCAGGGGCAAGTCCAAAGCCAAGATACCGTTTCACTCTAAGTAAACCCACTGAGGGAATCCCCTCCCTTAAAAAGGAAAAAAAAAAAAAAAAAAAAAAAAAAAAGGAAAGAAAACTGGTTGGGCTTGGTGGCTCATGCCTGTAATCCCAGCACTCTGGAAGGCCAAGGCAGGTAGATCGCTTGAGGTCAGGAGTTCGAGACCAGTCTGGCCAACATGGTGAAACCCCGTGTCTACTAAAAATACAAACGATTAGCTGGGCGTGGTGGCATGCGGCTGTAATCCCAGCTACTCAGGAGGCTGAGGCAGGAGAATCACTTAAACCTGGAAGGCAGAGGTTGCTGTGAGCCGAGATCATGCCACCATACCCCAGCCTGGGTGACGGAGTGAGATTCTGTCTCAAAAAAATAAAAATTAAAAATTTTTTTTAAAAAGAAAACAAATTATTAGAAACTATGACCTTCATCATCTTTTCTGTGCCTATTCTCCACTGACTTCTGGTGGCGGGGGGGGTCTTGGAATTTCATCCAGGAGAATATGTCCTTGGGTTACATGGTTGCAGAAACAAATGACTTGGTACTTGATAGTCTTTATAGAAAGAGAAATCAAAGTGCTGCAGTTAACACTGGCCAAGGCACTTGAATGCAAAGCAAAAGTGACAAAAGGGACTGAGGTTGCAGTACGGGAAGTACACTACTGTGTCAGTAGTTAAAGGTGGTGGCCTTGATTTCTCAGAGGGAGAGGAATCAGCTTTGAAGATGCCTGTCACAGACACTAGAAAATCCAACCATCTAGGGCATTGTGTCTGCTGACTCTGTGCTGAGGGATAGAGCTAGAACCCAAATTCCAGGTCCCTGTGTGTTGAAAACAGTCAATCAGCATTCTGACCCTGCCCTGATTACTTTGAATTCAGTGGCCTGGAAAGCCCCATTGATTTCACTGTCTGATTTCTGGAAGTCAATTGAAAGAGAAACATAGCAGCAAGAACCTAAAAGAAAATACAAAAGTTAGCACCTTCTAAGAATAACTTACTGGTCCCAAGTTGGTGTCTATACCTAGTCAGCACCATTAAGAGTCATCCCCGTGGTTGGGGGAAGGTATACCTACAAGGTATTGTCTACATGGGGATTTATAACTTTTACTCTTTAAGGTTTGCCTGCTTGCCAGAGATGTTGCTTCGTTTACTGTTGTTGCTTTCAAAACAGTTGCCTTTTATTTTCCTCTTGCCATGGAAACTGAAATAAATAAAGAGAAGCATGGTTTTTGAATGTTCTCCAGCTTTAGATGCATTGAAGTTTTCAAGATCAGTCAATAAGCATTTTTCTGCCCAATTACCTGTGAGAAGATGTATCTATTGGGAATAAAGAATGGGGGGCGGGGGGTATTGGAAAGGCTGATCAATAAGGCTGGGCTTCATGTCAAACATGTCAATGTATGCTTAGGCCAGTTTCAAATGTTTGGTGGCATTTTGTTCACAAAAGGATAGAGTGTGTGCATCATATTTGTTTTTTTTGTTTTTTCACAAAATTGAGTTAAATCCAGTGCTTTTGTTATTGGCTATTCTTCATGTAGCTTTCTTTAGGGTGGTTGTTTACAAAGACTTCGGCATGGTTTCACAGAGACTCATTCCAGTGGAATCCAGTTAGATGGTCCTAATGCTTTCGTTCCAGCTATGACATGTGTTTTGATTCACAGTATGCTTGGATGGACTGTGTGGATGCTTCATTCCTATGGAAGACATAATTCAGAACAGAAAACTTGTAACAGCAGCATCTTGCCTGCAAAATTATTTAAGAAAAAAAAAAAAAAGACTTTCTGGTTAATACCAAAATCTTTAACTGTCCTTTAGATAGGTACTGTTTCAAGTAATTAACCCACTGTGATTCTCAACAATGGGTCCATAATAGCCTTACCTGAACATTAACTCCTCCTATTTGCCCCCATTACTCCCAGAGATTCCAGTATTTTTTTAGTGGGGCTTTGGTGGTGGTGTGCGTGTATGTATGTATGTGTATATGTTATGTATACACATGCACATATGTGCCTTGGGTGTATGTAACTATGTATGTATATACACACATATTTTTAAACATAAATTTTTATAATATTCATTTTAAACAAAAGTATACAGATATATAATCTTAAGCACCACAGGTGAGTTTGAAGTCCAGCCATTGTTGGGAACCATGGAATCAAACACAATTTTTTAAAAGCACTTTGCTTTCATGACAAATAATACACTTAAGGATAGGAAGAGAAGGAGATGCTCACAGATACAAAGACGTTAAAAAAAAAATGCCCATGTTCATGAAGGGGCTTGCTTACAACCAATTGCTCTCTTATTTCACGGGCTCTTTTGATTTTACATAAAGTTCAGTGCTATAAAACTCTGTAAAATTTCATTATGTTTTTAAAGTCAGAGGCAGGGAAAAAGTCACCTCCAGGTGTTTAGAAAACTAAAAAAGACTGCCATTTCACTGGGCTAAGTTTGAAGCCCCGCAGATGCAAGTGCCTTGTATTCATGAGTCCACAAATAAGGAGGTGTTAATGATCAAGGTAGTGGTTGAGTGGATCCTGGTAAATACAGCTTCAATTGGAGATGGACTCAAGCAGTTCAGCATATACAGCAGACACACAAGCTGATGATAACCACTTACTATGTGCTAGGTACTGTTCTGATGCTTTGCTTACATCACCTCATGACATCTCGACAACAAGGTAGGTATTATTATCCCTGCTTTATCAATGAGAATTTCAGTCACAGACCCTTGACCACATTTGCTCAGCTAGTAGGCAGGGACTGGAACTCAAATCCGTGTGACTTCAAAGCCACGCAGCAACCACCACACCAGTCATATGCTCTGCCCTGTGGATTGGGCCATATTGAAACAATAAAGACCATCGAGCTGATGGATTTCGAACCACTTCAGAGAAATATGTAAAAGGCTTACATGCAAAAATATGTTCAGAAGACAAGCCAAAAGGCCAAGTATTCTTGTAAATGTGGCAGTGATGACTGAAGACTTTATTAAAAATATATTAAGCATGTAGATAGAGAGTGAACTGCTCATAAATCTAGGTGGTTTTGTTTACTTCTATTTTTCTGTATGTTTGAGATATTTCATTGCTGATTATTTTTGGGCAACGGGACATGGAAGAAAGTTGATAAGCTCTTCTGAATTATGACTTATTCAGGTAGTTTTGCATAAACCAGAGGGCAGATAATTGCTGATATGACCTCAACAAAGAGATAAGGTGGAGAAAGGAATGTTTGCTAATTATCTACAAAGGAAAGAGAAAGGTGAGAAATAATAAGTTACCTGATTCTCTGTGTTCTGTGCTTACTTGTTCCTCCAAAGCATTCTCCCCAGCATGTCTCTTCCAGCTTAATAACTGAAAACACTTAGTCAACAACAATACACTCTAGTGGAAAAGAGATCCTGTTAGTTTTCTAGACGATGCCTGTTGTGGGTATATTGTTTCCAAAATTATATTAGTGCTCATGAGCTGGAATCGCTGCACTTTACACACTCAAAATTATGAGACCATTTGTCCCCGGTGGTAGCTCAGTTTTTGGAGTGAACCTCAAAAGCAATCCTTGGCTAACAGAAGATTCTTCCAGATTCTAGCAATGTTTGTTCAAAGTGGGGCATAGCTGGCCAGGTGTAGTGGCTCACACCTGTAATCTCAGCACTTTGGGAGGCTGAAGCAGGCAGATCACCTGAGGTTAAGAGTTCAAGACCAGCCTGGCCAACATGGTGAAACCCTGTCTCTAGTAAAAATACAAAAAATTAGCTAGGCGTGGTGGCACACGCCTGTAATCACAGCTACTTGGGAGGCTGAGGCATGAGAATTGCTTGAACCCAGGAGGTGGAGGTTGCAGTGGGCCGAGATTGCACCACTTCACTCCAGCCTGGGTGACGGAGTGAGACTCCATCTCAAAACAAACAAAAAACAAAAAGCAAAAAAAAAAAAAAAGATGACAACAAAGTAGGGCATATCTTATTATCTTATTTACACTTACTTCCAGAGTTCACTGTAACACAGAAGGTTGTCCTTTGATTTTGACTTTTGATTCATGGAAATGTATACATGAAATTGAATTTCCTAATCTTGTGTTTCAGAACAGCTGACTTGTCTCAGGCAAGTGTGTGCGCATTATATAAGGAAGCAGTGGTCATTTATCTCATCATATATTGGACTGTGAGGCATTAATATATATGTCTTGTTCATGGGAGCCGTTGATTTTAGGAAAGCTACTTATGTAAATAAGCAGTAACAGAAGGCGCTCGGCCAAGCTTTAATGAGACATCTCAGCTCTCCCTCTGCTAAGTCAAAAAATGTACTTTGAGACTTTAATCTCCAGTAAAAGTGACAATGGAAAGAGCAATTTAAGAAACACTCCTTGCACATGTTCACAATGTTAATTTTTAAGAAATCAAAGCCATATATACAATATAATTCTACTTTTTTTAAAGTACATAAATGCAATTAATTAAATAAGACTGCAAGAATATACAAACCAGAATGCTCACAGTTGTTAACTTTCTCTTGAAGTTAACATTTCAGATGATCTTAATTTAATTTAATTTTTTTACCTTTCTGTGTTTTCAAACTTCTTTGTATTCAGCCTATATAGCTTGTTTAACAGGAGAAAAATGTAATAAATGATTAAGGGTCAGGAAAAAAGAAAAAGAAATGAATATGCACCTTCATGCTACAAACAGACCATTTCTAGTACTGGAAATGTCTGCAGCTTTATTCCTCATTTTGCAAATGAAAACCACAATACTGCCTATAATCATAGCCACTGAAGTGGTCAGGAAGAATCTTGTCAGTTCTCCAGCTTTTGCAGTGGAGTGAGTTGGATAAATTTCCTCCTCAAAGGACGTTTGGATGAGTGGAAGCTTCATTAGGAAAGAGGAGAAGCCCATAGGCAAGTCTAGAAAACCTACGTCCCATCACTGTACTGGAAGACTCATGAAGTCCGGACAAAGTGTGATACAGCCTGGTGTATGATGCTCAGTAGTGTGAATGAGATGTGTGATACAACCTGGTGTATGATGCTGAGTAGTGTGTAATGAGAGCCATGACCCAGCTCTTCCAGGACACCGTCGAGCAGACATTTGTGGGATGGTCGAAAGTCACTCAAAGAAGAGATGTCAGTAGTCACCTGGTTCAGCAGGCTCACTGGCTCCTCATCAGAATTGCCTGGGGAGTCTTTTCAAATGCACATTTCTGGTTCCCACTCTCAGAATGCTGGGTTCAGGGTTCAAAGCTCTGCAAGTGATTCACATGGACTGGTTTGTTTGTGATCTACCTTGGGAAAACTCCTTTTACAAATGAACTGAATCAACGGAATAGTTTCTTTTTCCTATTTACATTATGCCTGGTATGCTTTGCGAGTGTTGGGCCTTTGCAAGTGTCTCTTTTCAGAAATGCCATGTTTATTCCATTGCCTTTGCCCAAAACTCTGCTGGGACTCCCCCACTTTTCTTAACAGTGTTCAGAAATGGAATTCTTTTAACTGTCTTCAAAAACAGAGTGACAGCATGCTTTTGAGAGGAGAAGGAATGCTAAAATAATTTGTTATATATTTTTGAAATATTTGTCAAATGAGAAAGATTTTGTTATATTAGTGTAATGACAAAAACTATCGTATTAAAATATTTTCAAAAATAATTTCTAATAAGCCAAATTATATATCCTTGTACATTAATGTAATAAAATTTAAACGCCTATATATTGGCTATATGACCATTAAAATAATATAATCAGAAATTATTCTTGTTTTGTAATCACTTTCTTAGTTATTTTTTTCTTTAAAAAATTTTACTACTTATAAAATGTAATATGTGTAATTGTGATACGTAAGTAACAAAATAAACCTACAGAAATGTTATTTTTAGTGTCTGAATTTTATACAATACAAAAAGTAGAAGTACTTTATTAATGTGGTATCTTGATTGATCATAAAATTTTTCTCGCTTGCATTTCTGCAAATTCATTTATTAGGTCATAACTTTAGCACTTTTTTATGCTTTAATATTTTTTAGCAGATTTTTAAAAGAGCAGTTTTAGGTTCACAGAAAAATTGAGTGGAAGGTAGAGATTTCCCGTATCCCCCCTGCTCCTACATATGGCATTGTCTCCGCCATTGGCACCATCCCCCACCAGAATGATGGATTTGTTGCAACTGATCAAAATAATTTACATATCATTATCCCCAAAGTCCATAGTTTGCATTAGGATTCACCCTTGGTGTTATACATTCTATGGATTTGGACAAATGTATAATAACGTGTATACACTATGACATGTATCTACGCATACAGAGTAGTTTCACTGTCCTAAAAATCTTTTTTTCTTCACCTATTCATTCTGAGCCATTTTTAGCTCTAGTACTGAGTCATTAATATTTTTCTGAAGATTCTATTTTTTAGTATGTTTTAATGTTTTGTGGTTTTTTAAAAAATAAAGTTCCTGAGATCTTCAAAGTTATAATCTATAACTAATAAATTTAAAATTATTGATATATCAATTGACTCTTCTTTGTAGCAAAAAGTATGTTTTTCAATTGAGAAAATATCCAGTTTTACAGATGCTGAGGTAACTGGTAAGATCAGGGCAGTTTATGCTGGATGGAGAATATTCTCAATTCTGTATTTGGTATTGATAAAACTAAATATTTCGCAGATACTGTTCCACTTAGAGTAACTGTTTTGACAATTTTTTAAATGTTTTTGGGTACATAGTTGGTATATATATTTACAGGGTACATCAGATACTTTGATACAGGCATGCAATGTGAAATAAGCGTGTACATCATGGAGAATGATCCCCTCAATCCATCCCCTCAATCCAATTCAATTTTATAGACAATCCAGTTACACTCTTTAAGTTATTTTAAAGTGTACAATTAAGTTATTATTGACTAGTGTCATTCTATTGTGCTCTCAAACAGTAGGTCTTGTTCATTCTTTGTTTTTTTGTACACATTAACTATCCTCGCCTCCCCCACAAATATTTTTAAAAACAAAATTTAGCAAAAAGGTTGTCTCTGTTTTAAGTGCTTTATCAAATTTAGATGCTGAAAAATGGTAGGTTTTCTGAATTTTACTTTATTCCAGCACAGAGTACTAATTTATCTAATTAATTAACAATAGAAGCCCATCAAAATATTCTTCCTAGATGTCAAGATACTTGAAGCTCAATGACTAATTTTCCTAATAAAATCTCATATACTATTTGATCACTATTTTATGTGTTTAGAAACACTTTGATTTAATATGAATACTTTTTTTTTTTTTTTTTTAGATGGAGTCTGGCTCTGTCGCCCAGGCTGCAATGCAGTGGTATGATCTAGGCTCACTGCAACCTCCACCTCCTGGGTTCAAGTGATTCTCCTGCCTCAGCCTCCCAAGTAGCTGGGACTACAGGCACCCACCACCATGCCTGGCTGATTTTTGTATTTTTAGTAGAGACGAGGTTTCACCATGTTGACTGGGCTGGTCTCAAACTCCCAACCTCAGATGATCTGCCTGCCTCAGCCTCGCAAATAAGAATATATTTCAGTGTCTTCTTGTTTACTAGCTTTGTTTCTATTAATGGCAGTTCTCCAAAATCTTCAAGAGCTACACTTTGGGAACTTTCCATTTATTGTATACTTTAATTAAAGGTTTCCAACTGATTTTAAATTAAATTGAATTTAGAGTTCTCATTTTAAAATAAGTAAATAAATAAAAGTTCAGTACATTATAGGACACTTAGGTTGATTTCCAAAACAATTCAAAGGTTTAAAAATTTCTAATATCTGATTGATTATGGGCAGTGAAGAGGTAAATCTCATATGATTATGTCAAGATTTTTTTCTAATTCAACATTAGCCTTGTGGAAAAAAATTGATAGTTTAGTTGTTGTGTGTGTGTAAATTTTGACAAACAGAGCTTCTGTTTTTATTAGTAGAATGTTGTAGCTTGTTTGTACAAAATGATGGCTTACATCTTTTTTTAACCAACTATAAGTACAATTTTATAGCTCAATGAACCTATCGCTTTTGTTAGATGGGAGCAAGCAATGGGAAATGTCTACCATTTGGCTTTAAAAGTCTATAAGCAACAGTTACCTATGATGTGTGAGTTTGGGGTAGCTTCCAATTCATCATTGTCCTGACACATGTCAATTACCACATATAAAGTCAAATACAATGTCAAATCCAAAGCCTCAGAGAAAAAAAAAAAGAATCCAATTCCCAAGAGAACAGTGATAATTTAATGTAAAACTAAAGTATACTGACATTAAATTAGTACTGCTGAAACAATATATTGAGGATTTACAGTAACATCTGGAAATTCCTTCTAATGTACATATAAATAGAATCATGGAAGCTTTTTATATTGCCTCTTCTGTGGTCTTACAGATTTAATAAACCAAATAAAACTGAACCTCCACTCCACATCTCATTCTTTATCACTAGATAAGATAAAATCTATTCTTATTCATAAGGTAGGGTTTTAAGCGTTCATTGTTTCTTAAGCCACAGTTAAAGAAATTATGTCTTTAACTAATTTTGGTATTGTCTCTTCATTCTGTACACGGAATTCCAGCAGATTTAATATTGGCATTTATCATCTGGTCAAACCTTTACATGTTTTCCAATCAAACTAAGGATTCTCAACATTTTCTGTATTAATAAAATAAGGTATGGTATAAAATTTGATGAAGACCTGCTTTTTCCTGGCCGCACTGGACTTCTAGAAGCCATTTGGATTGAGTTTAGAGGATAGGGGAGTACTGAAGTTTCTTGGTCTGAGTTTCTGTTTAACAGTTAGAGAAGTAGAAGGAGCAGGAGATCATGTGGACAAGCTGTGACCGGCAGCTGTGCCGCCTGCCTTGGTAGTGGTGTGAGCTGGATTTGGGGCTGCAGTGCTATTCTGGGAGGAGTTCCTTGAAAGAGTTTACAACAGTTGTTTGATTTGAACAAAACTGTGTGGTTAGTGGTAGTGCCAGAAGCAGCAGGCCCCCTATGCGAGCCTGGCCATCATCGTTCTGCCGTGTGTGCATTAAAACTTTGCCCCGCAAGGGACGAGTTCCAAGGTGGCCGAATAGGAACAGCTGTGGTCTACAGCTCCCAGGGAGATCGACGCAGAAGACAGACGATTTCTGCATTTCCAACTGAGGAACCTGGTTCATCTCATTGGGACTGGTTGGACAGTGGGTGCAGCCCATGGAGAGTGAGGAGGGCAGGGCGTCAGCTCACCTGGGAAGTGCAGGGGGTTGGGGGATTTCCCTTTCCTAGCCAAGGGAAGCCATGAGTAACTGTACCTGGAGGAGTGGTACACTCTCGCCCAAATACTGCGCTTTTCCCAGTCTTCCCAACCAGCAGACCAGGAGATCCCTTCCCGTGCCTGGTTTGGTAAGTCCCATGCCCACAGAGCCTTGCTCGCTGCTAGCACAGCAGTCTGAGATCGACCTGAGATGCGGGAGCTTGGTGGAGGGAGAGGCATCTGCCATTGCTGAGGCTTGAGTAGGTGGTTCTATGCTCACAGTGTAAACAAAGCAGCTGGGAAGCTCGAACTAGGCAGAGCCCACCATAGCTCAACAAGGCCTACTGCCTCTCTAGATTCCACCTCTGGGGGCAGGGCATATCTGAACAAAAGGCAGCAGGCAGCTTCTGCAGGCTTAAACGTCCCTGCTTGACAGCCCTGAAGAGAGCAGTGGTTCTCCCAGCATGGCATTCAAGCTCCGATAACAGACAAACTGCCTCCTCAAGTGGGTCCCTGACTCCCTTGTAGCCTGCCTGGGAGACACCTCCCAGTAGGGGCTGACAGACTCCTCATACTGACAGGTGCCCCTCTGGGACGAAGCTTCCAGAGGAAGGATCAGACAGCAATATTTGCTGTTCTGCAGCCTCCACTGGTGAGACCCAGGCAAACAGGATTTGGAGTGGAACTCCAGCAAACTCCAACAGACCTGCAGCTGAGGGGCCTGTCTGTTAGAAGGAAAACTAACAAAGAGAAAGGAATAGCATCAACATCAACAAAAAGGACATCCACACTAAAACCCCTTCCATAGGTCTCCAAAAAGACCAAAGGTAGATAAAACCACAAAGATGGGGAGAAAACAGAACAGAAAGGCTGAAAACACCAAAAACCAGAAGGCCTCTTCTCCTCCAAAGGAACACAACTCCTCACCAGCAAGGGAACAAAACTGGACAGAGAATGAGTTTGACGAGTTGACAGAATTAGGTTTCAGAAGGTTGGTAATAATACACTTCTCCCAGCTAAAGGAGCATATTCTAACCCGTTGCAAGGAAGCTTAAAAACCTTGAAAAAAGGTTAGATGAATGGCTAACTAGAATAACCAGTGTAGAGAAGAGCTTAAATGACCTGATGGAGCTGAAAACCATGGCATGAGAACTTCGTAAAGCATACACAAGCTTCAATAGCTGATTCAGTCAAGTGGAAGAAAGGATATCTGTGATTGAAGATCAAATTAATGAAATAAAGTGAGAAGACAAGATTAGAGAAAAAAGAGTGAAAAGAAATGAACAAAGCCTCCAAGAAATGTGGGACTATGGAAAAAGACCAAATCTATGTTTGACTGGTGTACCTGAAAGTGACGGGGAGAATGGATCCAAGTTAGAAAACACTCTTCAGGATATTATCCAGGAGAACTTCCCCAATCTAGAAAGGCAGGCCAACGTTCAAATTCAGGAAATAGAGAGAACACCACAAAGATACTCCTCAAGAAGAACAACCCCAAGACATATAATTTTTAGATTCATCAAGGTTGAAATGAAGGAAAAAAATGTTAAGGGCAACCAGAGACAAAGGCTGCGTTACACACAAAGGGAGGCCCATCAGACTAACAGCAAATCTCTCTGCAGAAACCCTACAAACCAGAAGAGAGTGGGGGCCCCTATTCAACATTCTTAAAGAAAAGAATTTTCAACCCAGAATATCATATCCAGCCAAACTAAGCTTCATAAGTGAAGGAGAAATAAAATCCTTTACAGACAAGCAAACGCTGAGAGATTTTGTCACCACCAGGCCTGCCTTACAGAGCTCCTGAAGGAAGCACTAAACGTGGATAGGAAAAACTAGTACCAACCACTGCAAAAACATGCCAAATTGTAAAGACCATCGATGCTATGAAGAAACTACATTAATTAATGGGCGAAATAACCTGCTAGCATCATAATGACAGGATCAAATTCACATATAACAATATTAACCTTAAATGTAAATGGCCTAAATGCCCCAATTAAAAGACACAGACTGGCAAACTGGATAAAGAGTCAAGACTCATTGCTGTGCTGTATTCAAGAGACCCATCTCACTTGCAAAGACACAAATAGGCTCAAAATAAAGGGATGGAGGAAGATCTACCCACTAAGCAAATGGAAAGCAAAAAAGGAGAGGTTTCAATCCTGGTCTCTGATAAAACAGACTTTAAAGCAACAAAGATCAAAAGAGACAAAGAAGGCCATTACATAATGGTAAAGGGATCAATTCAACAAGAAGAGTTAACTATCCTAAATATATATGCACCCAATACAGGAGCACCCAGATTGATAAAGCTAGTTCTTAGAGACCTACAAAGAGACTTATACTCCCACAGAATAATAATGGAAGACTTTAACACCCCACTGTCAATATTAGACATATCAATGAGACAGAAAATTAACAAGGATATCCAAGACTAGAACTCAGTTCTGGATCAAGCAGACCTAATAGACATCTACAGAACTCTCCACCCCAAATCAACAGAACATACATTCTTCTCAGCACCACGTTGCACTTTCTCTAAAATTGGCCACATAATTGGAAGTAAAACACTCCTCAGCAAATGTAAAAGGACAGAAATCACAACAACCTGTCTCTCAGACCACAGTGCAATCAAATTAGAACTCAGGATTAAGAAGCTCACTCAAAACCACACAACTACATGGAAATTGAACAACCTGCTCCTGAAAGACTACTGGGTAAATGACGAAATGAAGGCAGAAATAAAGATGTTCTTTGAAACCAATAAGAACAAAGACACAACATACCAGAATCTCTGGGACACAGCTAAAGCAGTGTGTAGAGGGAAATTTATAGCACTAGATGCCCACAAGAGAAAGCAGGAAAGATCTAAAATCGACACCCTAACGTCACAATTGAAAGAACTAAAGAAGCAAGAGCAAACAAATTCAAAAGCTAGCAGAAGACAAGAAATAACTAAGATCACAGCAGAACTGAACGAGATAGAGACACAAAAATCCCTTCAAAAAATCAATGAATCCAGGAGATGGTTTTTTGAAATGATCAACAAAATTGATAGACTGCTAGCAAGACTAATAAAGAAGAAAAGAGAGAAGAATCAAATAGATGCAATAAAAAATGATAAAGGGGATATCACCACCGATCCCACAGAAACACAAACCACCATCAGAGAATACTATAAACACCTCTACACAAATAAACTAGAAAATCTAGAAGAAATGGATAAATTTCTGAACACATACACCCTCCCAAGACTAAACCAGGAAGAAGTTGAATCACTGAATAGACCAATAACAGGTTCTGAAATTAAGGCAATAATTAATAGCCTACCAACCAAAAAACGTCCAGGACCAGACAGATTCACAGCTGAATTCTACCAGAGGTACAAAGAGGAGCTGGTACCATTCCTTCTGAAACTATTCCAATCAATTGAAAAAGAGGGAATCCTCCTTTACTCATTTTGTGAGGCCAGCATCATTCTGATACCAAAGCCTGGTAGAGGCACAACAAGAAAAGAATTTTAGGCCAATATCCCTGATGAACATCAATGCGAAAATCCTCAATAAAATACTGGCAAACCGAATCCAGCAGCACATCAAAAAGCTTATTCACCACAATCAAGTTGGCTTCATCCCTGGGATGCAAGGCTGGCTCGACATAACGCAAATCAATAAATATAATCCATCACATAAATAGAACCAATGACAAAAACCACATGATTATCTCAATAGATGCAGAAAAGGCCTTCGACAAAATTCAACAGCCTTTCATGCTGAAAACTCTCAATAAACTAGGTATCGAAGGAACGTATCTCGACATAATAAGAGCTATTTATGACAAACCCACAGCCAATATCATACTGAATGGGCAAAAACTGGAAGCATTCCCTTTGAAAACTGGCACAAGACAATGATGCCCTCTCTCACCACTCCTATTCAACATAGTATTGGAAGTTCTGGCCAGGGAAATCAGGCAAGAGAAAGCAATAAAGCGTATTCAAATAGGAAGAGAGGAAGTCAGATTGTCTCTGTTTGCAGATGACATGATTGTATACTTAGGAAACCCCATCGTCTCAGCCCAAAATCTCCTTAAGCTGAGAAGCAACTTCAGCAAAGTCTCAAGATACAAAATCAATGTGCAAAAATCACAAGCATTCCTATATACCAATAACAGACAAACAGAGAACAAAATCATGAGTGAACTCCCATTCAAAATTGCTACTAAGAGAATAAAATACCTAGGAATACAACTTACAAGGGATGTGAAGGACCTCTTCAAGGAGAACTACAAACCAATGCTCAAGGAAATAAGAGAGGACACAAACAAACTAGGCCCCCCAAAACCCACCACCACTTATTAGACAGAATTAAGTGGGTTTGGGCCAGAACAGGGGAAGGTCTGAGCAAATAAAAATCTCAGAGATGGCGTGTATCATTCCATCTTCAACCTGCAAACACCCACGGGGCCTGAGGCACAGACCTCCATGGGCTCATGTGCATCGTCACATCAAACACCGTTAATGGGCCAGAGTGTGGCCTGTCCTGCAGGACACCACAGCAGGACATACTCTGTGCTTGTCTTAAGGATCCCATCACCCTAAAGAAGGAAGTCAGACAGACAAAGGATTAACAGGAAACAGCTGCAAATATACCATTAAAGAAAGATATGAAAGGGAAAATGCTTTGACATTAGAAAGGTTTTGTTTGTTTGTTCTTGCATTCCATACTCATGGATAGAAAAATCAGTATCATGAAAATGGCATTACTGCCCAAAGTAATTTATAGATTCAATGCTATCCCCATCAAGCTACCACTGACTTTCTTCACAGAATTGGAAAAAACTACTTTAAACTTCATATGGAACAAAAAAAGAGCCTGCATAGCCAAGACAATCCTGGGCAAGAAGAACAAAGCTGGAGGCATCACGCTATCTGACTTCAAACATTACTACAAGGCTACAATAATCAAAACAGCATGGTACTGGTGCCAAAACAGCATGGTACTGGTGCCAAAACAGCTATATAGACCAATGGAACAGAACGGAGACCTCAGAAATAACACCACACATCTACGACCATCTGATCTTTGACAAACCTAAGACACGCAAGCAATGGGGAAAAGATTCCCTATTTAATAAATGGTGTTGGGAAAACTGGCTAGCCATATGCAGAAAACTGAAACTGGACCCCTTCCTTACACCTTATACAAAAATCAATTCAAGATGGATCAAAGACTTAAACATAAGACCTAGGACCATAAAAATCCTGGAAGAAAACCTGGGCAATATCATTCAGGACATAGGCATGGGCAAAGACTTTATGTCTAAAACACTGAAAGCAATGGCAACAAAAGCCAAAATTGATAAATGATTAAACTAAAGAGCTTCTGCACAGCAAAAGAAACTATCATCAGAGTGAACAGGCAACCTACAGAGTGGGAGAAAATTTTTGCAATCTATCCATCTGACAAAGGTCTAATATCCAGAATCTACAAAGAACTAAAAACAAAGTTACAAGAAAAACGCAAACAACCCCATCAAAAAATGGGCAAAGGATATGAACAGACACTTCTCAAAAGAAGACATTTATGCAGCCAACAGGCATATGAAAAAATGCTCATCCTCAATAGTCATTAGAGAAATGCAAATCAAAACCACAATGACATACAATCTCACACCAGTTAGAATGGCGATCATTAAAAAGTCAGGCAACAGCAGATGCTGGAGAGGTTGTGGAAAAATAGGAATGCTTTTACACTGTTGGTGGGAGTGTAAATTAGTTCAGCCATTGTGGAAGACAGAGTGGCGATACCTCATGGATCTAGAACTAGAAATACCATTTGACCCAGCACTTCCATTACTGGGCATATACCCAAAGGGTTATAAATCATGCTACTGTAAAGACACATGCACACGTACGTTCATTGTGGCACTATTCACAATAGCAAAGACTTGGAACCAACCTAAATGTCCATCAATAATAGACTGGATTAAGAAAATGTGGCACATATGCACCATGGAATACTATGCAGCCATAAAAAAGGGTGAGTTCATGTCCTTTGCAAGGACATGGATGCAGCTGGAAACCATCATTCTCAGCAAATTATCACAAGATCAGAAAACCAAACACTGCGTGTTCTCACTCATAAGTGGGAGTTGAACAATGAGAACACATGGACACAGGGAGGGGGACATCACATACAGGGGCCTGTGGGGCGTGGGGGGGTAGGGGAGGTTTAACATTAGGAGAAATACCTAACGTAGGTGATGGGTTGATGAGTGCAGCAAACCACCATGGCACGTGTATACCTATGTAACAAAACTGCACGTTCTGCACATGTAACCCAGAACTTAAAGTATAATAACAATAAAAAAAACTTTGTCCCCCAGTCACTAATGCCTATAACCATGTGCAAAGTTATGTGCCCACAGGCGACAATATCCGCTTTTGCTTACTGCCATATAGTATGTTTGAGTTCTCTTTATTTTGCCGTTGGAGATTTCCTTTATGTCTCTTGAACTTGGCCATGTATTTCAGCCAGCATTTCTTTAGGTTTATAAAGGGAGGGACCCCATTTCTGTTACCTTAGTCTGGCATGTTATGAGGAGTTCATTTTTTAATGATATAGAAACCTTGTATATCAGTCAATCTGTTGCTGTGTTAAAAAAAAATATATAGTAGCTTAAACAATCATTACTCACAAATGAGGGGATGGTGCTGATTCTTAGGGTCTGACCCAGTTGATCTTGGCTGGGCTCAGTCATGTGTTTGTGCTCAGCTGATAGGTCAACCTGGTGCTGCCTGATCTGAGATGGCCTCACTCACATGTATGGCTATTAGCTATTTATTGAGTGGGTTTAAAGTCTCTGGTAATGAGGTTATATGTTTCTCATCAACCAGAAGCTAGCCCAGACTCATCCATGTGGCATTGGCAAGATTCTGAGAGTAAGATTGGAAGTGCACAGCCCCTTGATGCCAAGACTCAGAACTGTCACAGCGTCAATTTTGTGCCATTATAGTGGCCTAAGCAGGTCACAAACCAGCCCAGATTCAAAGAATGGGGAAGAGTTGCACAGTAGCATTAAAAAGAGCTCTGTACTGAGAAGGGAACAATGTGGACATTTTGGCAAACAAGGTATCTCACATTGGAAAACAAAATTTTTAGACATATAATCATTCAAAACTATTTAACAGTCTTTATTCTAGCCAATCAATCATGAATGCAGAGTTTTCCATTCATTTTGAAAGCCAATAGCTTTAAAATATATACATTAATTTAGAAGGATGCAGAAATGAGCCAACAAAATTAATTCAAAAAAATTAGTACCAGGACTATTGGGTAAATATAAAGGATTAAAGATTACTTTTTAAAAAAATCTAACGTTTTGTATTGCATTAAGTTTTCCATGTACTTTCATATATTTCATTATTTCTGAATCATACAATATATATAGTTCTTTCCACTTTATGGATAAACCTCTGAGTCTCAGAAGCTTGCCCTAAATCATTCAGTAAGTGGCAAAACCATCACTTGGATCCTGGTCTTCTGACTATAATCCCATGCACTGTCTACTTTATCCTGCAGCCTGCAGGTCAGAAAGGGTTGGTCTAAATGAAATTGTGTCTATTTTTATGCAATGAATAAATTCTTGAAATTTTTCTTGAAAATCATAATTATAATTTAAATGCTATGATAGAAGTTTTCAAAAAGTAAATAATCATAAATGGCCAGTGACTCTCAGCTGTCACTGAATGCTGTGGATAAAAAAAAAAATCCTTGAAAAAAAAATGAGCTCTTAGGTTTGCACATGAATTCAGAGGTAGCTTGGGAGTTTGAGGTTTTCTAACTATAGGTCCCCCAAACCCTCTTTCTGGTGATAATGACAGCTTCTTGGGAAAAGTCAAGATGCCTCTGTTTTGGGTGTGGTTCCCGAATTTGCTTCTGCAAGCAGCGTGACTCATTTGTTGAGCTCACTTTATGCAAAGTGGTTGTGGGAAGTGAGCTACTTACCAGGAGAAAAATGTAGTATTTTGGGGGTTTCTAATGGCTTTCCCGAGACGAGGTGTCTGCTGAGCTGGAACAGCATTAGCACTTTGAAGGGTGTGTTCTGTGTCAGACAGAAAACCTAGAGTTAGTACCATCTGATGACTTCTACCAGGAAGGAAGGAAACTGACATTTATTGATCATGAATTGTGCAGATCGTATGCCAGGTGCTTTGCATGTATTATTATTTTTTCATCCTCATAAAAAACCCATTTTATAAATAAGGGGACTAAGGTTTGGAAAATTTGACAGGATTTATCATAGTCACAAAGCCAGTAGGTAATGGAGATAGGATTTTAACCCCCTTACTCTTTCTGAATCCACCAGGCTGGGGAGGATGTGTGGTAAAGATCATAAATTTAAGTCAATATTGGGAAATTATGTGAAAGGCTTAAATTAGCAACTGCAGCACCTTAAGAAAAATTAAAGAGAAATTGTGTGTGGTAAAAGGAATTTTTTTTTTTCTAGTGAAATTTTGTATCAGTTTGCCTGGGCTTCCTGTGTGAGATGCTCTGTGTTCCTGGCGAGAGGCTGGGCCCAGCAGGCCTGTCCTTGTGCTCAGCGACTCTCCCACCTCTCCAGCCGATTCCTTCCATCCTTGTACGAGGCTGAATTCTGACGCCCAGGATGAGCTCCAGCGGACGTCAAGCTGATGTGTCATCTTATGAGTGAGGGCTTCTGAGCTAGTGCCCATGAGCTCTGACTCATCAGGCTTCTAATTATAACTCGTCCTGGCTTCTCAGATAATGGGTTTGTCTCAATAGTTTCCAGGGACACATTAGACCAGTCCTATATTTTGTGGGACTTGGGTGTTTAGGCAGCCCGTGGTGTTCTGGGCGGAAATAGAGAAGAGACTGACAAGTCATCAAGAATTTCAGTGGTGCCCCTGAAAGTTGTCACAGCATCTCAAATGTGCCTCTGAGCAAATGGTCTTTGGCAGAGCTTGGCAACCCTGCTTCAGGTTCCAACACTACAGCGTACAATCCCTAAAAGAGCTTTGGCATCCTGAGGATGTTAATGTCCCATAATGCCCAATGGCTGTGGTGGTAATGATGGGTAATAGACTTTAGACCCCACAAAACCAGCTCTCCAGGCACCCCACAGGGAACAGCAGTGGGCAAAATAGTGGGCAGAGCAGAGAAGGAAAGTAACATAGGATTCTACGTGGTTCCCACCTGTGGAAATGAACAGGACCCTTGCAAGTCCATTTGGGGCACCTCTAGTGACTCCTCGAAGACAAAGCAGATAAGGACAAGAGCTTCTGAAATAAAAACTGCATTGACCCAGAACTTTGGGACTGCAAGAGGACTGAGAGGCCCTAAATTTAACCACTACATTTCACAGACCAACTATAGCTCAGAAAGACTGTGATTTTCCAGTATTGCACAGCTAGTTAGAACCTATAGCTTTTCAACCCTCCATCTAGCATCTTTGATGCCCAACAAATAGTAAGTATTCCTCCAAAATTAAAAAATTTCCTTGTGTTCATGATTCAGTTGATTAAAATTGAGGTGGCTTTTTTTTTTTTTTTTGCCATTTTAAAGGACGTTGACAGAATCATTCAGTGGTATATCTCCAACTATAAGATCTTTTGAATTTGACACCACATCTAAAGTTCTTTTTCTTTCTTTTTAAAATTTTCTTTTAAAAGTTTACTTGACTCGATGGATTCAACATGTAAAGTTAGTTCTGTCTTTATGGTTTTCACACAGAAATTTGTATTGATGGTGCAAAGCTTAGGATTCTTCAAATGAGTTTGTTATGGAGGCTTGCTTTTCTGTCCTGCCTATTGCTACTACATTATCTCTGCATCTCAGATACAAATCAACACTGACTGAATCACAGAGCCAGCTCATGATAGGCATGTGATGACGAGTGAACCAGGAAAAGGGCAAGAGGGGCCTGGGGCTAAATCTTAGCCTGAGTCAAACTTGGGAAGAGACCAGGACATCAAGTGTGGAGGCCCAGAGTGAGAGTAGAATCAGTCTTTGGAGTAGAGCAGAGACAAGGTTTGAGGCAGAACAGAAAGCAAAGAAGGAGGGTCTAGGGAACTGCAAAGAGATTTCCATTCTAGTGCTCACACTCATCAACTTGTAGGAATTCACAGATCAATGGATTAGTGATTAAGCTTGGTAGGATTGTTGTGTAAATGGCCAGTGGTGTCTGCTCTGGATGAGGAAAGGAGAGTAAATGTATGAGTGCTGCATATTTGCAGTCTACAGCAGTATAGCCAAATGCTTACAAGTGCAAACTGCAGATGGTCTTATCGCTGCCCCTTATAGCTGGTGACATTGGACAAGTCACTTGA
This sequence comes from Homo sapiens, assembly GCF_000001405.40. Lineage (NCBI taxonomy): Eukaryota > Metazoa > Chordata > Mammalia > Primates > Hominidae > Homo > Homo sapiens. Next base: position 35,032,511 of record NC_000011.10, read on the forward strand.
CTCTTCATTGTCTCATTTTCCCAGCTTGAAAAATGGGTAAAAACTCATAAAGGTTTTCTGAACATTAAATAGAATTATATAGGAACGTTGCCTAGAACAATGCCTGGGACACAGTCGTCACTCAACATATGTTAACTATTATGACAGTGCTATCCCTGGTCTTGGACACTTGCTATGAAAAGCTTTGGAGTATCTGCGATATGTAAGGATGAGGATCAGATTTAAAAGGGCATAGCAAACTTGGGGTTAGTTGGACAACTTCTCTTTTTCTGATAATGTCTATAAAGGTGTTTTGAACCAAGAGTACTTAAAACAAAACTTTAACATGTGTTTTGAGCCTGACTGCTGGAGGGGATGCTTGAAAAACAATGTGGATTACCTAAAAGCAGCCTCCACCTTAATCCATGTTGGCCGCTAAGTGTGGGGTTTTGTTGAAACCACTCATACCACTTAATTAGCTTGCTCAATCGTTGTTTTTAGTCTGAAAATTTTTGAAAATCCTCCCCCTGCACTAAAATTAGGGAATGGAGGAGTGGGAATAAGAGAAGCTCTAACCACGCAGGCTTGACCTTGTATAGTGGAACAGACTTTGCCTTGCACCAATGGGGATTGAAGATGGCATGACCTCTTCTCTGAACTCCATCTCATTGCCCTAATGAGGACCTGGCAGCGCCTGGGTCCGCCACTTGACTTCCAAGTCTCATGATTAGAGGCTCTTTATTTGCTCACACCTCACATACTTCAGGTTCAGGAAGTGGAGGAGGTGCCAGATCTCATTCCGCGTCCCTCCTGCCCCTTCAGAATGTATACTTCCTTGCTACCGGTACCCTCTTTCCTTTCTGCCCTCAATCCTCAGTCTGCTGGTCACACCTCATTCTCTGAGGACTTAAACATCTGTCTTCCTCTCAAGGCCAAATTCCATTGTCAAAGAGAATGAGAGGAGAATTATTTCTTCTCTACCTTCTGAACAATTGGACATTGCAAGAGAAAACCAAAGAATGAAGTTCATTGGTTTCACATAGCATTCATGATCATCAGTCTCAAAAGATGTCTAACAATCCTACCATTTTTCTCTAGAAATCTAGCCTTTCCAGTTTCAAGGTGACTATTTGTACCCAAAACACATCCTGCTTTCTTCCACTTACCTCTGGGGGCACTTTTCCCCAAACCTCACTAAGAAAATAAAAGTGGCCAGACATGTATCACCTCCATTTCCCTAATACAAAAACAACAAACCTCTCTATGTGGCACTGATCTGCTACTTGCCTCCTGTTGCAAAGCACAAAGTGCTCCTCTTCCCACCAGAGGCTAGCCTCTCTTATCTCCTCCTGTCCTCTCAAAGACTTTGATGTCTTACCGCCTTCTTTCCCTCTGATAGCTATAAATGTTTCCTTTCTACTACAATATTCTCATCAGAATGTAAATATTATGTAATGGTATTTCTCTAAAAAGCAAAACAAAAAGTTTCATCCCTTATTAACTGAACAGTCCTCCACCTGTTCTACTCTTCTTAGCCAAAATTCATAAAAAGCTCCCACATATTCTGTTTCCATGTTTTCTCCCATTTAATCCTCAACTCATTTCAGACTGACTTCCATCTCCACTTCTTAACTGAAATTGCTTTTGTTGGAGTTACCCAGGACCTGGAAATTCAAGAGATACTCTTCTTACTCAACCTTCCTCAAAATGCTTTCTTCTGTTGACTTTTCTCTCACCTAACTGTCTAATCCTGCTCAGTCCCCTAGGCTGTTTCTTCTCATTACCTCAGTATCCTAACAGTAGAGTACCCAAGGTTCAGTGCCGGACAATTTGTCTCCTCTGTCTATACACTCATCTCAAAGATTTAAATGCCATCTGACCACTCTCAAATTCATGTATCCAACCTTGATAGCTGTAATGACATCCTCACTCTAATAATAACAATAGTAAAGAACAACAAAAGTAAGTGATATGCTACATTCCAGGCCTATTTGAAGCACTTTACGTGATTGGATAATAGATACTTATCACATACTTTGAAGTAGATTCATTGTCATCCCCATTTTATAGATGGGAAAATGGAGGTATAAATACATAGTTTTGTATCTTGCAACCTACAATTGATAAGCAGTAGATTGAGAACTAAAATCTATCTACTAGACAGAAATTGTTTTATATATCCTTCCAATATAATCTTATGAGATGTTACTTTAGACAGAAATCTGAAAGCCATCTTCAGGTTCTTTGTTTCCTTTACTTTCGCATGTAATCTATTCAGAATTCCTGGTCCTTTCAGCCTCGCAGTGTATCTTGAATTCAATTGCTTCTTTCCATTTCTCCTGCCATCGCTGAGTCCAGAGTTTTTTGACCTTGGCACTGTTGACACTTTGGGCTGGATAGTTATTTGGTGTGTGTATTTTAGGATATTTAGCAGTATCCCTGGCCTCTACCTAGCTGATGTTGGTAGCATCTGTGATCATCAAAACATCTCCAGACATTGCCAAGTGTCCCCTAGGAACTGAGAATAACTAACCTAGTCTGAGACGTCATTAACTTTTGCCTGAACTACACTAATCTCTTACCTGTCCTCTTGCTTCCACTTTTATTTCTTTTTTTTAATTGTCCACAAAGCAAGCAGCAAATGGAAATAAGATTATGTTATTCCTCTATCTATCTAAAATGCCTTAATACTTTCCTATCAGATTTATTAAAAATGTAGGGAAAATACCGATTTTTACAAAGGCTTTGTGTGATCTGGCCTCTGCCAAACTCAGTCTCATCTTATAGTATCTTCCTTTTTGCTTAACCCATATGGGAGTTCTTTCAGCTCTGGAGTCAGTTGAGCTTTCTACCAACTTGTTCTTCCCTGTGGCAGAAAATCTGTCTCTTCTCCTTCTCCTCAATGTGCATGTGTGCGTGCATGAGTGCGTGCACACACACACACACACACACACACACATTCTACATACTACTTCTACCCCATCCTGCATGTCACAAAACTGGCTCCTTATCATTCTTCAGATCTCAGCTTTAACATCACCTTCATGGAGAGACTTTCTCGGATCACCCAATGCAAGTAAGTTCCCACCTGCCCTCACCCCATTATTCTCCATCATACCCAGTACCCGGTTTCCTTTTTCATACTCTTCATTGTATTTATATATGCATTTGTGCCCATTTGCATGTTTTCCATCTACCATATTAGACTGTAAGTCCCACAGGGCTTGTTCACTGTGGGGTCTCTGACAATTTGCACAGTGCCTGGTGCATAAAGGCAGTAAATCACTCATTGAAGAGGCTGCTAATTGCATGTCACTTAGAGTGGTTGAATAATTTCAAAGATTTCCCAAATCAACACCTGATGATGGAACGCAATCTTGGGAAGAATAATATGAGTAAAGGAGAGGGATTTAGCCATAATCAGGAGTTTAATCAGAGCTGACATGGTTTGTCTTGGAAAAAGGGAAATCCTTGTTGGGCTGCCACTATGCATTCTTGAGCTATGAACTGGCCAGACTTGTTATTTCTGGCTACAGTTATCCACTACTGAGTAAGTCACTGGGTAGCATGGTTTTCCCCCTTTCAGTTGGTGGTTGCAATATGGCGGAACTAACCCCATTATCAGTTCTTCTAGGCTTCACATTCAGGATGTGAGGAAACAGGAATTAAGTATAACTCCCTTGGGGCCATTTCAACAGCTGTGGTTTTTGAGGAAGTTCCTGTCTCCCAGAACCAGCTTCAGGGGAAAAGGAGATGCACAGCAAGAATCATGTTCTGTGACTTTCTCCCTGGAGATAATTCTAGAATCACCCTGATGTGTTTGTGTCTGCATGCGTATGTGCATGAACACGTGTGCAACTAGAAGTGGTCTAGTCATTTCTAAAGCTCAAAGAGTCTTTAGGCAATATTTAGCCCAACCTTCTCATTTTATAGAAGGAAATTGAGGCCGTGAGAAATCTGACTTGCCCAGTGTCACACAACTAGTTGATAGAAAAGCTGGATTTATTGACAAGTAACACTGATGTCTGAAATAAAAAAAGACAGGAAAAAAAAGAAAGAAAAGAAAACTGGATTCAGACAAAAGCCAGGTCTCTTTTGATCACACTTCCATGTCTGGAAGGTCCATTTCAAAACAGCATTTGATTGTTTTTTTCTGGTTAAAGAGGAATACGTAGGGAAGATTCACAGCTGCCATTCTGGGTGTTCTGGGTTCTGTCAAGCCTTGGAAGGATGACTTCCAGCTGCCTTTCTAAGAGGCAGCACTTGGCAGAAGCGATTGTCAGCAAAAGTCGTATATTCTAGGTGAAATCCCAGCCTTGTCCTCTGACCTCAGTTCACCCTTTAGTTTCTTTGGTTTCAGCCATGACTTATCAACCACCAGCCAGCCTGCTTGGGTTCCTCCTCCAGCCTGTCCATTTGTGGTTCCCCCTTAGTCATCTTGCCAACCCCTAGCTTGACTGTAGACCCCTTTACTAGCATAGTTCTTGCTTCTCCTGAACACACATTGGCTATTCCCAATATCTGTAGACCCAACCAACCCAACAGCTCATTGCCTAAAGGCTTACCCATCAGCACAGCACGCCCCTTTGACCACCAAGAGAATACAAAAGCCCAGGCAACTTCCATCCTCTTTGTTGGGCTCCTCTATCCTAGAAACACTGAGAAGCAGCCATCACACAGAGTACAAGGGCATTTCCCATTGCTACAATCTGTTTTCATTTTTCAGAATATTAAAATTTGTGAGCCACCTCAAATCTTTCTTGGAAGAAATAGACACATATTCCTATTTATCAGGGAATAAATAGATGTGACCACAAACAATGTATTTAATGTGACAGAATTTGCCAAAGAAAACCAAATCATGTGAGAAGGATAGACTCTACAGATCAAAACTGGATCCTTTGAGCAAAAAGGAATAGGATTTGGATACAGTTGTCTAAGGAATGAACTACAGGTTTGACTTTTTTGGACAAAACTGAAATATGTGATGGATGTTCCCTCCCCTTTCTATTTTTGGCTGTCCACCATTCTACTCCTTCTATGTGGGGAGATTTTCCTACCCTATTGTGTTTTGTGTTGGTAAAACCCAGTGCCCTATTTCCTGGTATAGAAGTTGGGAAGAGGAAACTTGTCTCTTCTCCTGAATTCTGGCAGTGTTGGTTAGTGACCTGTGCTTAGCCAATCAGATACTTGGATATGTAGGACTTGGAATCTTTTCAATGTGACACAAGGCTGCAGGTATACATGGAAATAGGATCATTGCAGCAATAGTGGCACATCAGTAATGGTGGTGACAGCAGCAGGAGATAATGGCTGTGGCACTGGCAGCATCCTCAACATGTTTTAGACATGTTCTTCTTAACACACGATCTTGATCGTGTTTGCTATTCCCTAACTCCCTAGAGCAGCTCAGCTCTTGCATTTTTCCAAGCCTCGCTCTCCTGCCTTCCTGTCTATTCTGTGAACTTCTCTGAATTCTTCCAATAGATTTATTTCCTGCTTCAGTTAATCTAGAGTTGATTTCTGTTGCTTGTGTTTAAAGAATCTAGATCATACCATGTGGGTGAGATGAATTACTCCTTCTCAGGACTCTTCTAAATGGAACCCTAGAAAGTCTCAATGGTGTACGTAAGTAACTGGTTTTAGGGAAAAAAAAAAAGGTTGGAGAGGTGCTTGTATGACCAATGCTCTTCAAGGAGATAGGAGGAATTGTGGGCATTGGTGACTGTTTATTGTCAGGTCTACAGGACTATACAAATCATATTAATTGAGTGATGAATAAAATCTTTCTTCAGAGAAAGTTTGTCTTGTCTTTGAGTTTCCTGCCCGTGTAGTGAACGTAAGTTGGAAATAATGGTACATAATACCTTTTGTTTTTATGGTGCTATTTGACTAAGTGCCCTGGAATCTCACTGAACAGCAAAAAATGCTCCTTCTTTATCTGATAAATGTCTTGAGATGCACAAGAAAATTGGATCCTGGAAGTCCTGATTCCTTAAGGTCTGCATCCTTCAAAGGTTCTGGAAAAAAGGCATCAGAAAAGGGATTGATTTGTCTCTGGTTCCTTGGATCAGAAGGACTGTCTAGCACTGGGCTTATGTAGTATTTATGGGTCAACCCTGAAACAGGCTTCTGTACTGCTGGGAAACTACCCAGAGTCAGAAGCTAGTTCCCAAATATGATGGAACACGTTGATAAAGAACCTTAGTTGATCTGCAGTGCACTATCTGGAAGCCATGTGGAGGCCACATGGAATGCAAGTCCTTCTTTGAGACCTGGTAACTCAATAAGCAAACTGCCACCAGGGGCCCCGTCCTAGCCATAGCCCCATCAGCATCATTTCAGTTGAAATGTCTCTACTTTGCTCACAGGGGACTGTCCCATATACCCTATTTTGTTGTTCATTTTGTTTTATTTCAGTGGCGTTACAATTCTCTTAGATGAGAATCCTTTGCTAAATGCTATAGACAACATTTTTTTCTAAAATCTAAACCAAGACATAGGGAAGTTCTGGAAAACAAGAAGGAATTTCCTCTTCTGGAAAATGAAGGTGTGGCGGGCCAAAAAAATCCTCAATAAATTCCTTCAGGAAGGCTGCTGCAGAACCATCAACAGCTTTGTGAAGTTTTAAAGGCAAAGGTTGCCATAATGCTTCCCGAGTCACAGAGCCATGCACATCTTGGTAGAGATAAAACCTGAGAGTGTTCTGGGGTCAGTGCTGGAAATTGACAGGGAACTGGCTCAGTCTTGTTCAAAGAGGCAGGATATGGGGGAGCATCCCAAGCTAATTCTGAGTCACCAAGAATGATTTTGCAGATGGGGAAAGATTAAAAGAATTAATCAGAGAAAAGAGAGTGTCTGCAGGTAGGAAGACCCAATGAAAACAACCAAAGACGATAATCTGATTGATTTTGCTGAATATCACCTATCTCATTTGTAACGTCATCCTCAAATGAGTAACTCTTACCCCACCATATCCTAAAGGTACTGCTTGGCATGGACCTGATAGAGGAATAAATATGTTTACACTTAACATAAAATTTTGAAAACCTTCACATGCTGCCTATTCAAGGACATGAATTACCTAGCTCCTTTTCAGCTACCCACATTTAAATCTCTTGCTGCTTCTCACTGAGCCTGGGAGAACCATGCCAGTTACTTGATTCCTAGAAAAGTCCTGGCTCCTCCTTAGGTTATATTTTCCCTGCCCAGGTGAAGGTAAGATGGAATTGACTGCACTATTGTCTGTTTTTGTCAATGCCATTTCTCTAGGAGTCTTGGAGTCTGTATTTTAGTAGCAGAAGTATGTTTTCCTTTGTTGACCAAAATTTTCAGATGCAGAAAAAAAAAAAACAAATTCTAAGGATTCTAGTTCCTTAAACTCTGCTTTCTTCAGAATTTTTTGGAGGATAAGCATCAGAAGAGGATTATGGGTACCAAAAAACAGAATGAATAAGATTTTCTATTTGATAGTACAAAAGGCGACTGCACTTAATGATAACTGTACATTTTAAAATAACTTAAAGAGTGTAATTGGGTTGTTTGCAATTCAGTGGATAAATGCTTGAGGGGATGGAAACCCCATTTTTCATGATGTGCTTATTTCACATTGCATTCCTGCATCAAAATATCTCATGTACCCCATAAATATATACATCTTTTATGTACTCTCAAAAATTAAAAATAATAAAAAAATAAAAACAGAAGAGGGCTAGAGAGTGAGAGATCGAAAGATGAGGAGGGAATCACCCATCAAGAGTCTGTTTATGTACATCGTGGCCCCGACCTACCGAGATCTGCATAGAGACAAGAGTGAAATAAGACTGTGTTTTGGAAACTGTGGTAAGAAGGAGGCAATGAGTCAGTGCTTACCATCCCCAGAAAAAGATATTGCTCACTGGGGAGTCTTTGGGGCAAAGTCTGTACATGTATCTGGGGGTGGAGTTGGAAAGACAGATTGGCATATGGGTATTTGGAGGAAAGCAGTGGGAGAGAGAGAGAATGTGAATGAATGAAAAGTGGGAAAACACATTGGGGAAAACACATAGTACCGAAAGCGGGTCTCTGAGGCAGAAGGAGCCATCAAAGCGGAAGCAGAACTCAGTGCCGTGTCGATAGTGAAGGGAGATTTGAAGATTGCATAGGGAACCCAGAGACATTCATTTCATTTTTTTCATGCTTCTAATTTTAATTTCTTTTCAGCTCAACACGTGAAATAATTGTGGTTTAAAGCAATGTAGTTTCGGTAACCTTAGGGCTATACTTATGTCCAAGTTTAGGGCTTAACCAAACATAGCATACCTGGAAATGGTCCTTTATTTATCAGTAGCTGAAATAGAAGCTGAGTCACAGGAGCGACACAAACACATCTGGTGTCTGTCTCATGCCTTCAAATGCCACAGGGTGTTGGCGATCTTTGCTTTTACTTGCTCAAGCCTTGAAATCTCCTTGGTTGATATCCGCTCACCTTGCTCAGTGTGAATGCCCCTCAAACTGGTCCTTCACTAGTTATTCTCCCACATATAAGTGACTTGTTTCCATGATTGACATTCAGAGTTGAGCTATAGGGCATTTCACCAACTAAAGCATCTGCTATTCCACTCATTATTCCAAACATTGGGAATTAAACGGAGCTCATCGTTGGAATTTCAACTGTGCTTATGTTAGATTTTATGTGTGCTTAAAGGGAAGTGGGAGAAAGAATCATCTTGTTGGGAAAAGAAAAACAAGTACCCTCTTCTCAGCTTGTAGTAATCAACTACAATTGCTATCCTTTCTACCCGCTTCCTCTACCCCTAGCACAGAAGAAGAAATAGGCTAGGATGGGGAGTGCCACTATCTCAGTGGCTCAGAAGCCACTAAAAATCAGTGAGATGGATTTACATCTGCAAGTCATGGTAGGTCATTCCCTTATTTCCATGTATTATTTCTATCACATTCAATACCGTGAGAATCCTCTAATGTAAGCTGTGCCTACATTAGGGAAAATCAAGATGATCCCTTGGACACAAGAGAAAATACTAGAGCTTCTATTATATTTATTTTTTAAGCTATCCTTTTACATTTTCTATTTTTGTGTATATGTTGTGTATCTATTTTGTGTATATGTTGTGTATATGTTTATTAGTATATTGGTAAATGAATATTATCTATCTACTCATGCCTTCTCTGTCTCTCTCTCTGTCCCCCACCTCTCTATCACATCTGCCATATGTCATCTGTCTAGCCATTCTTCTATCAGCTTTTCTAAAAAAGCTAAGAAGCTTTTTTAGAAATACAAATTCATAAGAGATTCTATTCCAGCAGGTTTAGGTGAGACTAGGAAACTGTAGTTATCAGGCTCATTTATTTCTGTTAACCTTTTATTTGATGTAACCTTACACAAAATCTTACCATGTAAAACAGATCAAGATGGGCTACTCTTTTGCAGGAGGGCTAGAGGCAGGGTTCGGATGGTCCAGTCCTCCAGGGTTCCCCTTTCATTTGCTGTCTCCTCTGCTGTCTGTGGTCAGTGTAAACTCCTGTTTGGAAACCACTGTGGAAACTACTGAAAGATGCATCCTTGGAGAGTGGCTGGTTCAGTGATTGAAATTGGACTAACAACACATCCCCCCTCCCCTTTCTTCAATTAAATCTTATAGAATTTCTCACTAGCTGTATTCATTCTAGCTGTTCTTCATGGCACATGCTAAACACCTGTTCACCGTCGCAGCCCAGGCTAAGAGAAAGGATTGTAGCTGCTTGGGTCTGACACTTGGAATGGATTCCTCTTCCTAAAAGAACCTGTTTTCCCCATGCCATTTCCTGTTTTCCCTTATTGCTTCATTTTTCTTGCACAGTTTACTTCCCTGCAGTGAACAGTCAATACTCATGACCATGTGCATTGCACAGTATAACCAGATCCCTGCAGCAAACATTTTTCTGATCTTATTTCTGATTTCAGATAGCTCCCTCTGCAGAAGGAGAGTCTGCTTAAACTAAATGCAATCCCATATCCTAGGAGCACTTTGCCCACTGGCCAATGCAATTAGGCTCATGTTTGGCTATGATTTTATTTCTTATTTTGCTGGTTTAGAGATGGCCTGTTTCCCAAAAGCACATTACACTATCATTTGTAAAGTTATGTTGTCTTCATGAATAACCTTAAGGGGCAAAATTACCTTATAGCATTAGGGGGAAATGTTGGGTATGGCAGATGGAGATATATCACTTCTCTTCAAGAAAGGTCTCACTGTGCAGCTACTAAGAGGGTAGTCAGCAGACAGTGTACCTATTAGCAATTTTTGAGCCCATCTCATACTCTGTTCAGAATGGCCCCATGACTGAGCAGGGACATGAAGGGAGGGCTTGACTATTTCTGTCCGGTGGGAACTTGGCTCCAAAAGGTAATTAGGCAGGTTAGTCTAATAAAGACTGTATCATGATCGCATGGCTCTCCCATGCCCAATCCTATTTCCTCCCAATTCCTTTCATAATTGCTACTCCCCCCAAAGCCTTATGCACTCGTAATTCTGCCTTAGCGTCTGCTTCCCTGAGAACAAGAGGCTGGGGATGAGGGAAAGGAAGTGACAACCAAATATAGGTTGCAGTATGCTCCTAGACTCCTGAAGTATACTATTCCCAGCCTGTGGCTATGAATAGCCTCTGGGAAGTCTCAGAGTTACTGCAAGAGATCTGCAAATATACACACATGCCCAACATTGCCTGTAGCCTGAATACATAATATGTCTAAATATATTGAATAATATGTGTGCTATTTTTCAAATATATAAATAACAATTCACTAAAATAGTTTTTCTAATACTGCATTTTTAGATCAGTGGGTGCTAATAGTACCAGACACACGTGTGCACAGGCAAGCGCACACACACACACACACACACCACACATACATCCAAGAAAAGCTTTTGCTTTGAAGAGATATGTTAAAAGGGCTGTGAACCATTGTTTCACATGTGACCCTCTTGTCTTCATACATTAACGGATACTTTCCCCAAAGACAAAAAACAAACTTTGAGAAAGGCTACCTGATTCCCAAATTGAACAGCTCTAATTTGATAAATCTTGATAACTCAGAGGCGCAGAATGACCAATTCTAGAGGATAATGAGATGTCGTGTGGCCTCTTAGTTCAATCTCAGACCTTTTAAAACATGTGCTTTTTTTACTGGCAACCTGGGATCCTGACCCTCCTGTTCAGAGAGATGACAGGTAAAAAGTATTTGGCTTGGGTTAAACATCTCTGCTTGTTTGGGGACAAATTGCTTGGTCTTTGCATACAATAGTTATTTTTAGGGAGCAGATACCATGTAATTTTGGATTGCCAGTTAAGTGGAATCTTATAGCTGAAAAGGACCAGCTACCTACAGAGGAAGACATAGACTCATTCTGGGGAGTATAATAACTCGTCCAAAGCCACACAGCTAATAAGCAGAGCACGTTTCTCCTAACAGTAGACAGGAACTGTTAAACTAAATTTGGGCTTAAGAAGCCTTCTCCAAGTCTTACGTAATGAACTACAACCTAATTTAGTATGTAAACAAATTGAAAACCTAATTTAGGAATTTGCCTTTGTAACATATAGCTGAGTCTCAGCCAGTTACAGCAGCTGAACTTCAGCCAATCACAGCTGCCAAACTGTTCTCAGCCAATTACAGCAGCTGAGCTTTAGCCAATCATGGCTGCCAACTGTTCAAACTAGGTTCAAATAAGACAGACACAAGCTGTAACCAATCAGTCTGCCTCTGTACCTCACTTCCATTTTTTTGTATGTCACTGCCTTTTCTCTGGAGAGAAATACAACCTGCACATGTGGTGAGGCAGAGCATTTTTGGTCTGACATGCTGCCCAATTTTAGAATGGCAAATTAAAGCCAATTAAGATCTACACAACAAATCTAGTTATGTAGATCTTGATTGGTTAATTAAGTAATTTTTAGTAATTTTGTCTTTTATCAGAATCAAACTGTGGATTGTGATTTGAAGTGATCAAAAATTACTAGCTTTATCTGTCAGAATATGCTAGATTATGTTGCTATAAAAAATGACCAAAAAATGTTGGTGGGTTAACATAAAGGAATTTTATTACTGTTTCATCCAAAGTCCATTGTAGCCTGGAATGATTCTCTAAGATACTTGCCTCCACATGGTGGCTCAGTGATGCAGGCTGCTTTAACCTAACAACACCTTCATTTCAACAAAAAAACTTCACCATTGTCATAGCAGAGAGGGAGCATACTGGAGGGTCACTCACTGGCAATTAAATGCCTTGGTCTACATGTGACACACAGACCACAGGCACATGACCCTTTCCAAAAAGAGAGGAGAATGGGATGAGAGGAAGCACTAAACATCTCCACCGTACCACCCTCCCAGGGAGCTAGAAAATTCCATTAGTTATTGTTAGGGTAAATTTCAAAAGTTCTCTGACAGTATTAATTTATTAAGTCATTATCACCCAATAGCATATAAATCATAAATTATTTCATCAGTTTTGATTTAGTAACTAATATTTTGAAGGACTAAACAGCTGTGGGGAAAAATGAATTTTAAAATTCCTTTTCTAATTAAAAAAAAAAAAAAAAAAAAGCAGTCCAGGGATTTAGTGAAGCGGGACAGAATTATATGGGAGGCACTTCCGGGGTGGGGGAACAGCACTGGAGATGGATGGTGGTTGAGGCCGTGAATGTCAGAGAGAGGACTTTCCAAGGGAAGAAGGTGCTGAAAGAGGATGGAGGCTGTCATGACCATCGTCCTTGAATTTCCTCCACGTTGTCCATGTGAGCAGAGCACCTTTCAAATGTCTGTGGATATCACTTGAATGACACCAAGTTTTATCAAACCTTTGATTTTTCTGTCTGTCTGTGATGTGCCTTCCCTCCCCATCACCCTAGCAACGCTTTGAAAATAACTCGCTAGGCTAGACGATTGGGTTTCCTGTCACATTTTAGTGTCTGCCGTGCTGTGAAGACTGCGATGGCAGAGATACACATTGCGGAAGGAAGTCAAGCTTGTTTTCAGCATCAGTTGATTTATTAGATCCTTGATATTTTCCAGGCTACTACAGATACTTCTGTTGGCCTGGCATACCCAGGTGAAGCAACCCACCAAGGCTGGGAGCTTTGTTAATGTTTCACAGCTGAGTGTTTACCCAAGTCCTTTAAGCCATCTAGGACTATGGGATGGACTTAAACACTCTTCTCTTTGAGTTCTCCCACCTTTTCACTCTGAGCTGAAAATATTAGTGAAGAGCCACTTCTGTCCTCAGCAGGTATGATGTTTACTCTCAGACTAAAAAGTGCTATAAATGTTATAAGAACAAGATCTAAGGGTCTTGTTGACATATTCTAATGGAGTTTTCTTTAAAAAATGGGCTAACAGAGGTGTCACTTATTAGTCTAGTGCATGACTTTGGAGTCAGACTGCATGGATTCACATCCTGGTTCAATCACTTACTAATGATGTGGTCGTAGGCAATATACTTAATCTTTCTGAACCTCAGTTTCTTTAACTTTCAAATAAGGACAATTGCATCTACTTCAATACATTCAAAGCACATAGGAGACGTGCAATAAATATGAACTCTTATTGTTCTTGCTGTGCTTTCAAGATATTTCAGGGCCAGGAGGCTCATGCCTTTAATCCCAGCACTTTGGGAGGCCAAGGCAGGAGGATCCCTTGAGGTCAGGAGTTCAAGATAAGCATAGGCAACATAGCAAGACCTTTGTTCTACAAAAAAGAAAAAAATCACCGGGTCTGGTGGTGCAAGCTTGTAGTCCTACCTACTTGGGAGGCTGAGACAGGAGGAGTTTGAACCCAGGAGTTTGAGGCTGTAGTGAGCTATGATTGTGCCACTGCACTGCAGCTTGGACAAAAGAGCAAGACTATATCTCTTAAAAATAATGAGTAAATTAAAAGATTTCTGGAGAGAGGATCTGATAATTTGACATCTATGACTATCATCGTCATTGTCAGTAGTAACGCAAGATCTAACATGATAGTACTGGCATGTACTTCATTTTCCAAATCCATAAAATAGGACTAATGTTGTTGGCCCTTCCTGCCTTACTGGATTATGATATATAAATACATAAGTGAAGTAAAAGATGCTTGAAAATATATTTATACTATTGTAGATATGAGATATTGTCCATTGTCTTAGACCATTCGGGCTACTATAACAAAACACCATAGATTGGGTGGCTTGTAAGCAACAGAAATTTCTTTCTCACAGTTCTGGAGGCTGTGAAGTTCAAGATCAAGGTGTGGGTAGATTTTTTTTCTGCTGAGGGTCCAGTTTGTCATAGATGACACCTTCTCACTGTGTCCTCACAGGATGGAAGGGGCAAGGCAATTCTCAAGGCCTCTTACAAGGGCACTAATTTATTCATAAGGGCTCCACCTTCGTGACCTAATTACCTCCCAAAAGGCCCCACCTCCTAACCATCACCTCCTCTCCTTTCCTTGGTAATTAGCTCCTACCTATCACCTTGGTAATTAGCTTTCAACATATGAATGTGGGGGCACCCAAACATTCAGACTGGAGTGCTCTGCTCATCTCATACAAAGTAACAGCAGCAATGGCAGTGGTGGTGATCGAGTATCATTGTCCATCCTTTTGGCATGTATGTTGAGGCTGTCTCTGTGTGTGACTGGGATTGAGGAGGCCCTGTTTTATTAGGGGTGGGGGAAGCTGGCTCTCATTGCACTGTCTTTGACAGAACCTTGTGCTGTTGAGAGCATTGCTTTTGACATCCAATATTTCTATCATGGAGTCTGAGGCACCTCTGTCAGGGGTTGTCAGTCTCTGAGAGGTCGATACTGGGGTCTGGTTTCCAGCTCAAGAACCATGGGGTCCTAGAACCATGTGAGACTCAGGTGATGGGGAGGACCTTGCTCCCTCTTCTGTCTGTGGTGGGGGACTCCTCTGAGGCTGCTGCTGGTTAGGAAGTGGTAAGAAGCTTGCATTCATAGAAAAAGGAAGGAAAAAAAAGCACCAATGCTTTTATAAAGTTCAGCATTACACACTTCCTGTTTAAGAAGGAGGGACCATTTACCCCTAAGTTGAAAATATTTAGTGAGGAGGAGAACTCTGGTTCAGAGCTAGGCATAGATTTGCATAGGCAGTGAAATATGTTGGGACTCTCATTTTAGATAAATTCTTTTTTATTCCAAGCAAAAGAAACCAACTTTAGCTAATTTTAAAAAAGAAAATTAAAACACACATACACATATTTGTACCATACACACATACATATTAGAAGACTACAGGATATCTCACAGAATCAAATAAAAAGCTAAAGAATCTGGCTGCATATGGGACAGGAAATTAGAAACCTACGTTGGAGACATTCATAAACTATTCATTAGCTAGTGGTTCCTCATGTCACTTTACTCAGGGATTCTCTTTTCTGGAGAAAGTCAATTGGCCTTGCTTGGTGATATGGTTTGGCTGTGTCCCCACCAAAATCTCAACTTGAATTGCATTTCTCAGAATTCCCATGTGTTGTAGGAGGGACCCAGGGGGAGAAAATTGAATCATGGGGGCCAGTCTTTCCATGCTATTCTCATGATAGTGAATAAGTCTCATGAGATCTGATGGGTTTATCAGGGGTTTTCACTTTTGCTTCTTCTTCATTTTCTCTTGCTGCCACCATATAAGAAGTGCCTTTTACCTCCCGCCATGATTCTGAGGCCTCCCCAGCCACGTGGAACTGTAAGTCCAATTAAACATCTTTTTCTTCCCAGTCTCAGGTATGTCTTTATCAGCAGCAGGAAAACGAATGAATACAGTAAATTGGGACCAGTCGAGTGGGGAGTTGCTGAAAAGATACCCAAAAATGTGGAGACAGCTTTGGAACTGGGTAACAGGTAAAGGTTGGAACAGTTTGGAGGACTCAGAAGAAGACAGGAAAATGTGGGGAAGTTTGGAACCTCCTAGAGACTTGTTGAATGGCTTTGACAAAAGTGCTGATAGTGATATGAACAATAAAGTCCAGGCTGAGATGGTCTCAGATGAAGACGAGGAACTTGTCGGGAACTGGAGCAAAGATGACTCATTGTGTTTTAAAAAAGAGACTGGCGACACTTTGCCCTGCCCTAGAGATTTGTGGAACTTTGAACTTGAGAGGAATTATTTAGAGTATCTGATAGAAGAAAGTTTTAAGCAGCAAAGCATTCAAAAGGTGACTTGGGTGCTATTAAAAGCATTCCATTTTAAAAGGTAAACAGAGCATAAAAGTTCAGAAAATTTGCAACCTGATGATGCAGTAGAAAAAAAAATCCTATTTTTGAGGAGAAATTCAAGTTGGCTGCAGAAATTGGCATAAGTAGCAAGGAGCCTAATGTTTATCCCTACCGCCATGGGGAAATGTCTCCAGGCCATGTCAGAGACCTTCCCGGCAGCCCTTCTCATCACAGGCCTGGAGGCCAGGAGGAAAAAGTGGTTTTGTAGCCTGGACCCAGGTTCTCTGTGCTGTGTGCAGCCTAGGGACTTGGTTCCCTTGTGACCCAGCTGCTGCAGCCATGGCTAAAAGGGGCAACATAGAGCTTGGGCTGTGGCTTCAGAGAGTGGAACCCCCAAGCCTTGACAGCTTACCCATGGTGTTGAGCCTGTGGGTGCACAGAAGTGAAGAACTGAGCTTTGGGAACCTCTGCCTAGATTTCAGAGGATGTATGGAAATGCCTGGATGCCCAGGCAAAAGTTTGCTGCAGGGGTGGGGCCCTCATGGAGAGCCTCTGCTAGGGCAGTGAAGAAGGGAAATGTGGGGTGGCACCCCCACACAGAGCCTACTGGGGCACTGCCTCATGGAGCTGTAGAAGAGGGACACTGTCCTCCAGACCCCAGAATGGTACATCCACTGACAGCTTGCACCGTGAGCCTGGAAAAGCCACAGACACTCAATGCCAGTCTGTGAAAGCAGCTGGGAGGGAAGGTGTACCCTGCAAAGCCACAGGGGAAGATCTGCCCAAGACAACGGGAACCTACCTTTTGCATCAGCGTGACCTGGATGTGAGATCTGGAGCCAAAGGAGATCATTTTGGAGCTTTAAAATCTGACTGCCCTACTGGATTTTGGACATACATGGGGCCTGTAACCTCTTTGTTTTGGCCAATTTCTCCCACTTGGAATGGCTGTATTTACCCAATACCTGTACCCCTGTTGTACCTAGGAAGTAACTACCTTGCTTTTGATTTTACAGGCTCATAGGTGGAAGGGACTTGCCTTGTCTCAGATGAGACTTTAGACTGTGGACTTTTGGGTTAATGCTGAAATGAGTTAAGACTTTGGGGGACTGTTGGGAAGGCATGATTGGTTTTGAAATGTGAGGACATGAGATTTGGAGGGGCCAGGGGTGGAATGATATGCTTTGGCTGTGTCCCTGCCAAAATCTCAACTTGAATTATATCTCTCAGAATTCCCACGTGTTGTAGGAGGGACCCAGGGGGAGATAATTGAATCATGGGGGCCCATCTTTCCCATGCTATTCTCATGATAGTGAATAAGTCTCAGGAGATCTGATGGGTTTATCAGGGGTTTCCACTTTTGCTTCTTCCTCATTTTCTCTTGCTGCTGCCATGTAAGAAGTGCCTTTCACCTTCCGCCACGATTCTCAGGCCTCCCCAGCCATGTGGAACTGTAAGTCTAATTAAGCCTCTTTTTCTTCCCAGTCTCTGGTATGCTTTTATCAGCAGCATGAAAACGAATTAATGCACTTGGTAACATGCCAATTACTTGACCAAGGGAAGGTGAGGCACCTTGCTTTAAAAGTGAATGCCAAAGAGAATAGCAGCTCCTCAGTGAAATAATGAAGCTGTGTTAGCTGATGGGAGAAAAGGTTGCTGAGGAGACCACAGGAACAGATGTCTGCAGAAGTGTTTCTGTTTCTTGTCATCAGCCTCATTGCTGTAATGGCTCCCCAAGGCTGCCAGAGTTTACATTTATTTAAATAGAATCAACATGTTTCTGTTTCATAGCATCTTTGGTAAAATTATACTATGTAAAATGAGGATTACAGTCTTCTCACCAAAAGTAAGATCTCTGCCTTGTCTTTCTGGCCCATCTGGAGAAAAGGAGCTTGCGCTCCGCCGAAGAGCTTTGGTTGCCTCACCTTTCTTTCTCTTTAAAAGCTCCGTTCTGGGGATCATAGGGGTTTGGGCCCCAAGGTCTCTGGTTAGCAAGCCTAGTGCTTCCTTAGACAGTAAACTAAAAATAAGTGTCCTCAGCACCGTTTATGATGGCCATGACAGTTGGGCCATCACTTTACCACAAAGATACTTGTCATTTGGGGGTTTGGAAAAGGGAAACACTTAAGTGCTAGTTTATCAGCCAAAAGAAGCTGCAACAAAAAAACACAACACTCTTCCTACCCACAGACTTCTGGTCTGAGTATCAACTTACAGGGGAAAGTTTAGCCTGTTATAATTTAAAGGCACAGAGGTGTTTCTTTATTTACACATTTGCGGGGGGAAGGATGGATGATGTGAGCCCACAGCAGCTGCCTTCTAGAAGCTCTCAGGGAGACTTTAAAGGAGAACAAAAGTGTATTTTAAAAGGTGTTGGAACATTTACAAAATACAGAGGATCAAAGAAGGAAAGCTTGCAATGATGTATAGTATTAATATTTTGGTGTACTTCCAAACCTGGGTTTAGATAAAGAGGAAGAACTTAGGGGTCGACAGCATTGTGCCATGGATCAAGAGGTTCCCGTCTTGTTTCCAAGCTTGCCCTCCTGTATCACATTTGGAAAAGATGCCTGAACGATAGTAAATGTGCAATCAATGCAGCTACTGTGAAGACATGTTTTAATGAGTTTCATTCATAGAATTCCTTCATTCATTTAATATTACAACATCAAGGCTTTCCCCATGTTTTAAAATTTCTTTGCCCCTATTATTTTAATAGCTTTATAATATTTCATCAAATGGCTGTTCTATAGCTAATTGAACTAGGTCCCCAGCATTGGACAGGGAATATTATAAATAATGCTGTGATGGGTATTTTTGCGCGTAAATCAGGGCATCGTTTGTCAAAGAAGGGTCCAGCCTCAAACCCTGTTGGGTGTGAGGCCATGGTGCTGTCAATTTTAACTCTGTTAAAAGGCAGTTCTTCATTAGTCAAAGTCTAATGATCTAGGTCATGGGTTATTCTAACCCAATTTGTCTTCACCCTGTTTTTTTTTTTTCATGTCTTCAGAAGTCATTTCCTTTTTTGTCAGCAAGGAGACTGGAAATTGAAAAGATAAACTTTATTTTAGATATTTGTTGCTAAGTCAGAAAAAACTTGATGAGGATCTGCAAGAGCTGGGGCAAAACCTGTTTAGGAAAATCAATCAGACAGGTCTGAACACTGCTTTTAAAAATATAGTTTAAGTGTTCTTGTATTTTTTAAAATACATCTTATACTACTATTGTAAAACATGCCTCCATTATGCACATAGTACTTGTCTATGTGACAATCATACCAATAACATTTATTTTTAAGGCAGGAAGGAGGATTTAGAAGCCTAAACTGTTTCTCCTTAAAATATATCTAAGCTGCCTCTCTTAGAAGCCCTGGGGGCCCAGATATTGATGTGATTTCTCTTCCCTGCTCCATTTATCTAATCACCTAGGCATGTATTTTTAGAATATTCACTATAACGACGGTCAAAACAAAAACAAAAGCTGACATTAATTGAGTACTTACTGTATGCCAGGTGCTAGTCTAAGACTTTGAAAGGGTGGATTTGATACGTTGAATCTTAATAGAGGGAGGACATCTACTTCAGGTTCAGTGGACCTTTTTGAAGAGGTGACAGCCATGGGAAGAGGGTCAGCGGATAACTCTGGCATGGGCAAAGGGTCCAAAGTGCAGAAGAGTGTGACCCATTCTGTTGTGGCTGGGGATTAGTGACAGCATGGGAAAGTGACATCAAATCCAGCTGGAAAACTCTTAAAAACAAAGGGACAACATCCAATGCACATCTTAAGAAAAGCATACACATCTTATGAAGATAAATTGTAGGGTGGACGAGGCGTGAAGAGGAAGGCACTGTTGATGTAGTTTGGGCAATGGATGATGAGGCTTGGACTCGGGTCTGCTGGTGGGGATGCACAGAAATAGATGGGCTCATAATGTACTTTGGAGATAGCATTGACATAACTTGATGATAAACTGCAAAAACAGAAGACAGGGTAAGGGAGAAGGAAAGGCCAAGTCTTGAGTTTTTTATTTGGGCCCCTAGGCTAGTGGTAGAGCCATGGTCTAAAATGAAAAAATCTGGGGGAGTAACTGATTCATGGGCAAGGAAATGGAAGGTTCTATTCTTACCTTGTCATTTGCCAAAACTGGCATTGTGACTAAAAATAAAGAACACAAAACTAGAAGCTCTAACCTTTCTATAATCAAGTTTGTGTTGTAAAAAGAGACCAAGTGTTGGGTTCAGGCAGACCTGGGACTGCCATTTCAAGTTGTGTGACTTATGTTAATTACCTACCCATTTACCACTTGATCCTTCGATTTCCTAATTTATTTAAGAGAGACTTAATACTATCTGCCCTACATGGATGATGATATAGCACAAGTACACCTCCTAGCACAATCTCTGGCACATAGTAATTCCATTTCCTAAATGTCAGTTGCATTTCTTCGAAATAACCTGCACAAGATAGAGCTGCTATATGCACTAAATTCTTCTGTGAGGGTGTCCTGGGCAACCCTCAGCCTGGGTGATAGGATATGATATGGATGATGGGCACCTGGAAGGCAGGGGTGGCCCCAGATAGACCTGTCATTTGCCATCTGAAGTCCCAAATGTTTCATTCTTTCAGCGGAAGGCTTTTTGCCTTTCCAAAATACCAAAGGCCTTGAGAAACAGAATAGTTTAAAGCAGGGGTCCCAAACCCCTGGGTGACCGACTGAAGCTTCGTCTGTATTTACAGCTGTTCCTCCTTGCTCACATTACCATCTGAGCTCTGCCTCCTGTCAGATCAGTGGTGGCATTAGATTCTCATAGGAATGCCAACCCTATTTCAACCTGTGTGTGTGAGGGATCTAGGTTGCGTGCTCCTTATGGGAACCTAATACCTGATAACCTGTCACTGTCTCCCAACACCCCGAGATGGAACTGTCTAGTTGCAGAAAAACAAGCTCAGAGCTCCCACTGATTCTACATTATGGTGAGTTGTATAATTATTTCATTATAAAATAAAAAATGATAAAGGGGATATCACCACCGATCCCACAGAAATACAAACTACCATCAGAGAATACTACAAACACCTCTACGCAAATAAACTAGAAAATCTAGAAGAAATGGATAAATTCCTCGACACATACACTCTCCCAAGACTAAACCAGGAAGAAGTTGAATCTCTGAATAGACCAATAACAGGATCTGAAATTGTGGCAATAATCAATAGCTTACCAACCAAAAAGAGTCCAGGACCAGATGGATTCACAGCCGAATTCTACCAGAGGTACAAGGAGGAACTGGTACCATTCCTTCTGAAACTATTCCAATCAATAGAAAAAGAGGGAATCCTCCCTAACTCATTTTATGAGGCCAGCATCATTCTGATACCAAAGCCTGGCAGAGACAAAACCAAAAAAGAGAATTTTAGACCAATATCCTTGATGAACATTGATGCAAAAATCCTCAATAAAATACTGGCAAACCGAATCCAGCAGCACATCAAAAAGCTTATCCACCATGATCAAGTGGGCTTCATCCCTGGGATGCAAGGCTGGTTCAATATACGCAAATCAATAAATGTAATCCAGCATATAAACAGAGCCAAAGACAAAAACCACATGATTATCTCAATAGATGCCGAAAAGGCCTTTGACAAAATTCAACAACCCTTCATGCTAAAAACTCTCAATAAATTAGGTATTGATGGGACGTATCTCAAAATAATAAGAGCTATCTATGACAAACCCACAGCCAATATCATACTGAATGGGCAAAACCTGGAAGCATTCCCTTTGAAAACTGGTACAAGACAGAGATGCCCTCTCTCACCACTCCTATTCAACATAGTGTTGGAAGTTCTGGCCAGGGCAATTAGGCAGGAGAAGGAAATAAAGGGTATTCGATTAGGAAAAGAGGAAGTCAAATTGTCCCTGTTTGCAGACGACATGATTGTATATCTAGAAAACCCCATTGTCTCAGTCCAAAATCTCCTTCAGCTGATAAGCAACTTCAGCAAAGTCTCAGGATACAAAATCAATGTACAAAAATCACAAGCATTCTTATACACCAACAACAGACAGAGAGCCAAATCATGAGTGAACTTATTTCATTATATATTACAATGAAACAATAATAAAAATAAAGTACACAATAAATGTAATGTGCTTGAATCATCCCAAAACCATCCCTGCCCCTGCTCCATGGAAAAATTGTCTTCCACAAAACAAGTCTTTAGTGCTAAAAAGGTTGGGGACTGCTGTTTTAAAGCACATTTGTCAGTCATAGAAAGTCATCATACCGTAGTGATTAAGAGCATGGATTCTGGAGCAATTGCCTGGATTTTGAATCTCATCTTTGCCACTTATGAGCAAGATCCCTGAATTCTCTGCACCTAAGTTCCCTCATCAGTGAAATTGGGAAATTAATAATTTCTACCTCATAGGATTGTTATAAGTTTTAATGAAGCTCATATTTATAAAACCATAAGACAATACCTGGGAAATAGCAATCACTATATAAGTATATGTTAAATAAAATAGTAATCATTAAGGTGTTGGAAAACAGATGACTTTGAGAAGATGAGAGAAGGGCAAGGCTGAGGAAGAGAGGGAGGGCTCCAGAGAAGCTAGACACCCAGAGAAAGTAGAAACAAGGCTAAGACACTGTGGGCCACCATGAAAGGAGCTGAAGACAGATTTTTCTCCCTCTCTATTTTGTCTTCTGAAGCCCCTCAAAAAAGAAAATTCCAGGATGACCCCAGTTCCAAACATTAAAACTAAGTTTTTCCCTCTTAGAAGCAGCCTTTAATCCGGGTTGGGCTCAGGGAAGGTAATATACATTCAGACATGCATTTCTGCTGTTGCCACTTCCATCTGCAAAGTCCTTCTACCAGGAGTTTATAAAAAACATGGTCAAGGTGTGATATGGTCTGGCTGTGTCACCACCTGAATCTCATCTTGAATTGTAGTTCCCATAATCCCCCTTCATGGAAGGGACCCGGTGGGAGGTAATCGAATCATGGGGGCGGTTGCCTCCATGCTGTTCTTGTGATAATGAATGAGTTCATAAGGGGCTTCCCCGCTGGCTTCACTCTGTACTCCTTCTTGCTGCTGCCATGTGAAGAAGGACATGTTTGCTCTTCCTTCCACCGTGAGTGTTAAGTTTCCTGAGGCCTCCCCAGCCCTGCGGAGCTGTGAGTCAATTGAAATTCTTTCCTTTATAAATTACCCTGTCTTGGGCATTTCTTCATAGCAGCATGAGAATGGACTGATACAAGGTGTCTCCTCCCTGCCTGATTTGGCCTGTGTGGTATCCTATGGTTTATCAAGGTCTCGGCCTGAGTCCTGCCACATACTCTCCTCAAAAACCTCAAAGCATGGTTCATCTTTTCTGACATTATTTACAGTTAACTAGGAAGTTCAGAAAGTGTATGAGTTTCCTTTCTTGTTGTCCTAAAGGAAAATGGTGGACTTGGCTTGGTGGACTGTTTTATCTAGATGGTGGTTGGCTTTTATCGTTAATGTAATCTGCCATCTGAGCCAAACTAGGGATGGAACATCAGTCTTTTTTAAAAGTTGGGGGAAAAGAAAGGCTGTTAAGGAATCCCCAAACTCACCTGGAACTCCGGCAGGATCTAAATAACACTCCTCGATTTTTCCAAATGTGGTGAGCATGTGTCGAAGCTGGATCATTTAAATATTGCTGGTGGGAGTATAAAATGGTACAACCACCCTATAAATCAATATGCAGTTTCTTAAATAAATATACAACCCAACAATGGTTGGGTTGTTTTTAGTCATTTATCCCAGAAAAATAAAAATTTATATTTACACAAAGCCTGTGCTTGAATATGTATAGCAGCTTTATTCAAAATAGCCAAGACCTGGAAATGACTCATATGTCCTTCAATGGGCAAATGCTTAAACAAGCTGTGACAGATTCATACTATGGAATACTACTCATTAATAAGAAGGAATGAATTATTGATGCATGCAACCACTTGCGTGAATCTCCAGAGAATTGTGCTAAGTGAAAAAGGCCAATCTCAAACAGTTACATGAGGTTTTTGAAATAAGAAAATAGTAGAACTGAAGAACAGGTTAGGACTTGTCAGGGGTTAAGGAGGTGGTGTCAGGAGGGAGGTGTGTGTGGCTATAAAAAGAAAACATGAAGAATCCTTACAGTGAAGGAATGCACTGTATTTTATTGTATCAATGTCAACATCCTGGTTGTGATATTACATCTTTTTTTTTTTTTTTTTTTTTTTTTTTTACCAGATACACCACTAGGGGAAACTGGAGAAGAGTATAAGGAATTCCTATATGATTTCTTAAATTAGATGTGAATCTATAATTATCTCAATTTTAAAAGTCTAATTTTAAAAACTGGGGGCAGGAGAAAGGCTGTTAACTGATCCCTAAGCTCACTTTGAACTCTAGCAGGACCTAAATAATACCCTTCAATTTGCCCATATTCCCTGCTCTCAATTTAGTTGTAGAACGACCTAACCAGATGAAAATTCAGGCAAACATATATATTCCCTGCCACACAGTTAATCCCTCAGTTCACCTACAGTTCATCCTATCACTCATTCATTCAGCAAACACTTATAGAGGCCCTCCTATGTACCCAGGACTATACTAGGTGCTGTGGATACAGGGAGACAGATAATAGACCCTCTGTACCTAAATGGAGCTTACATTATAGTGGGAGAGAGAGACAATACATTACACATACATAAAAAGGGAATTTCAGAGAGTGGTAAGTACTAAGAATGAAATAAAACAGGGTAATGCAGAGTGTCATGGGAGGGAAGGCTTTTTCAATAGTGGAGTCAGGGAAAGCCTTTCTTAGTTAGTGATTTGATTTCAGGGCTACATGATGGGACAGAGCACCAAAGCTAAAGAGAACATTCCTGCATTCCTTTTAAAAGGTCACTCTTGGCCCCAAGTTATAGCTCATGCCTGTAATCCCAGCACTTTGGGAGGCCAAGGCAGATGGATCACTTGAGCCCAGGAGTTTGAGACCAGCCTGGGCAACATGGCAAAACCCTGTCTCTACTAAAAATCCAAAAATTAGCCAGTCATGGTGGCACATGCCTATAGTCCCAACTTCTTAGGAGGCTGAGGTGGGAGGATCACTTGAGCCTGGAAGGTTGAGACTATAGTGAACTGTGAATGCGCCAGTGTACTCCAGCCTGGGTGAAGAGGGAGACCCTGTCTTAAAAAAATAAAAATAAAAGTTCACTCTTTTTATGTGACAAATACGTAGAAAGGAAACAAGAAGGTAATGAGGGGACTGGCTCACAGGCTATTTCAGGGGCTTCCTCCCGAGTTGATAGTTCTATTGACCCAGGTTCAGCAATGGAGAAAAGGGTGCCATTTTCTGAGATGAGAAACACTATGAGGGAGGAGGAAATCAGTTCAGCTGGGAGAAGGAAGTTGAGTTCTGTTTAGTCATGTTCAGTTTGAAATGTCTAATAGACATCTGCATTGAGCCACAAACATTATATAGCCTCATTCTTTCTCTCTCTCCTGGCCAAGCCTCTATCAGCTCTGGGTCACTTTTTCACTTTCAGACTTGAATAAAACATCACACAACAAGGTGGCTTCATGCATAGTAAAGGAATAAATATTATGATAATGATTATGCATACTGGAAGTATACAGTTAGCTCTTCAAGGGTAAATCCCAAAGGACAATGGGATCCAAAATGGAGCCAGCCAGCTACATTCTTCATTCCCTTCTCAATATCTTCCAGTAACTCTTCTGAAGAAGTCCCACATGCTGAGTGAACACAAATTCCAAGTGACCTGCTGGGTCTCTTTGCAGCTCCCTGTGAAGTGGTAGCCAAAATGGTAATGTGGCTTACCACATCATATCATTCATCATGTCACAATACATGTATTATGTACCTTCCCTGACCTCCCTTCCCTTTTACTCCTACATGCAATACCTTGAACTTGCACCTCTCAGTTAAACTGTTGGCACCTTAATTCTTGCTTCAGGCTTTGTTCTATAGAAAACCCAGTTACAACAACATCCAAACAAAGATATCGAGTAAGAAGTTCAAAGCCTAGAACTCAAGAGCAAAGTCAGGATTGGAGCTATCAGTATGGTTTGGCTGTATTCCCACCCAAATATCATCTTGAATTGTAATAATCCCCACATGGCAAGGTTGAGACCAGGTGGAGATAATTGAATTGTGGTGGTGGTTTCCCTATACTGTTCTCATGGTAGTGAATAAGTCTCACGAGATCTGATGGTTTTATAAATGAGAGTTCCCCTGCACAAGCTCTCTTGCCTGACACTATGTAAGATGTTACTTTGCTCCCCAATCACCTTCAACCATGTTTGTGAGGCACATGTACCCTAGAACTTAAAGTATAATAAAAAAAAAAGAGGGGAACAATCACGTGGGTCGAGGCTAGCTGAGAGGTTAAGGAAGATGAGAGAGAGGGGAGGCCACAGGGCTGTGTGACATGAAAGTCATGGGTGGTCTCAGTGAGAGCAGTTGCAGTGAGGAAGTAAGATTGGAGAGGTCAAAGAGAGAACAGAAGTTGAGGAAGTGGAAGTAGCTATCATCATAGACAAGACTGAAGAAATTTAAATGGAAACAGGAAGGAAGTAAATTGGGTAGGAGGAGACTAGTCTGTTTGCCGGGTGCTGAACCTGGGAAATGTGTGTGAGAGAAGCACATTGTCCTGTAGTCAAGAGACCTGAATTCTAATCCTTTTTCTGCCAATCATGAGGTGAGGAGGCCTGAGGTAAATCCATCCTCTCTCTGGGCATTCATTTCCTCATTTGTCAAATCAAATGTCTCTCAGGTCCTTTCTAGCTCAGAAAAGCTATATTCTATGGAAACATTGAAACTAACAGAGAAGGAAAAAAAATGAGTGGGGAAATCAGGATACTTGAGAGGATAGTGTAAATCCTTAAGGGGCAGGCAAAAGGTATTTACTTCCTAGGGTGGTAGTCAGGATTAAATAAGGTAATTCAGGCACAGCACTAATCACAATGCCTGACACAGTCAGAACACAATACATTTTATTTATTATTAGAAATACTAGAGGTAGTATTAGTAGCTGAAACTTGCAGAGTATTGTGGTGCATAAATCTGCTGCACACAGGAAAGTGCCAGTGGAGATAAAGCAGGGAGGATGAGAAGAACCAGGTACCAGGCACTGCCTGGAATGGCAGTGAGGCCTATGCTAGGGGCCACTTGTAGAACGAAGTGTGGGGATATGACTTTATGATGTCCAGAGATGGCAGTCTAGGTGGATGTGAGGGCACCTCAAAATGAGAAGACACTTTACCTTTAAAGATGCTTTCTGCCAGGT